>NW_025791814.1:170129-340259 GCF_000001405.40 Homo sapiens
ACTGTTCTCTAAGGTACATGCCTCCCCATCACTTTCCACCTCTCGAGGAACTGGCACAGCCCAGGATTTCGCAATGATTAGAACTGAACCCCAATAAGCTACCCAAGAAAAACAGTGAGCCTTTTAAGGGGCTCAGAAGTCAGACAAGAGAATCAGAACACAGGGAATACATGTTCTGGAACAAGAGGACACAAACACCAGCTTAGCAACTGCAGCAAGTACAGTGAACCAGCCAGACCACCGGACAAGGTCAGAGGTACAGGGGATGGCCTCTTGAACACAGTGGCAGGAGGATGGTTGCAGGGTAGTGGCTGCAGAAGACCCCATGTACATACATGCTAAGCTTTTATTTCAGGCAAAGGGCTTAGAGTTCTAAGCTTGAGAACCCCTCAGAACAGGTCCTACTGTCACTTTCTGAGTCTGAGGGAGAGTTACTAAGAAGACACTGAAATTCTATAAGAGCCCTTAAGAAGCTAAAATTGCAAATACTCCTCAGAGAGACCTGGATTTCCAGCAGAAATCAGGATTAGCACATGCCAATATTTAGGTCGACATCGAGTGGGCGTGAACAGCAGTATGTGGAGGCTTTGTTGGATGGCCCCAGGGTTCTTTTAACCTAAAATTCTATGGGAGTGTTTGAAGGGTCGTAGTTCAGAGGGAACTCTTGATCCCTGTTGTGAACGCCAAGCTCATTCCTATCTCCTGGCCTTTATCTTTGCTCAGCTCTCTGGACCACCAGAAGGATCTTTGCAGGGCTCCTTCCATCCCATCATTTACGTCTCATTGCCTGAGAGGCCTTTCCGGGCCATTCTTTCCAAAATACTCCCCTCCCACGTTTTATCCCCTTCCTGGATTTGCTTCTCCACCCAGCACTCACCACAGTCGGGAACGATACTATTTGTTTGTTTACTTGATCAGTGGGGATCTCTGTGGGTCTTGTCTATCAATCACTGCATCCTCAGTTCCCAAAACAGGACCAGTCATTTAGTGTCCACTCAACACACGCATGGCAAAAAAAGACAGAGGAGCAGGGAGGCTGAGAGGGAGGGAGCAAGCCTTCCTCTAGAAGGGTGGAACGCAGAGCAGTGCAGTGAGAATGTGTGTGTGCCTGTGTGTATCCATGCATGGGAGCATGTGCTTATGTATCCACGTACATGTGCATGTGTGTCAACATATATGTGTCCATGCATGTGTACTTGTGTGTGAATGTGTATGTGTGCACGCATGTGTGTGCGCAAGCACACGTGTAGGCATCAAAGAGACTTGCATTTGAAAGGAGACCCTTAGTATAATATTTATGATAAACATTTCAAAACTGAGTTTTAGTGATGTGCAGAACAGAGGAGGAAGATGCAAGCCCCGAGGCTTGGCACCCCAGCTGCCTGAGCCAAGTCCTCAGGCAGTGAGGGAGATATAGGTAAGTGAAGCTGGGGGTGGGGGTTATTTAGCTCTGAAGATTGGACTGCTGGTGTCTTGTTTTGATTTCAGAGCCAACATGACAGATACCCAGACTTCAGAGAGGGAAAACAGCATGGTCAAAATGACAACTGAGAATACGGTGGCCAGCCTTGGTCAGAATAGTGCTGACCTGTGCAGAGGTAGGCTCTTTCTTCAGGTAAGGGCTCCTGGCCTCTCTGCATGCCTTGGGGCCCGCCTCCTACTCTCCACCCTCACACCCTCAGGAGAGAGTGATGCAAGATGAATGGATCCTAAAATTAAAATCCAGTAACTCTTTCGAATTACTGGCAATTTAGTGAATTAACAAGTTGGCACCAGGCAGTGGCCTTTTCCCACTAAAAAAAAAAAAAACAACCTCAAATGCATTCCCCAAGGAAGGGGCTGAAACTCATAACCTTGTGTCTGGGGCCCAGAGGGCATGAGCACAGAGATCCAAAGGGGCTGATGCTTTCCCTACCACTAGTGGGGCAGGCTGTGTTAGGGTGCATGTCTGAAACTTGAAACTGAATTAAGTAGCTTCATGTAATGGCTTCTCTTGACGGCACAGGATAAACATCATAAGAAGAAGAAGCAGTAATCCAAGAAGGTTTGCAACTGGCTCAAAATGCTACCTGAAACCAAGAATGGGTACTGTAATCAAAGAATTGGAAGCCACCTTGACCCAGAGGAAAAAAAATTGTTAAACTTTGCAGCTATTTCTCAAAAGAATAGAGAATTTTGTTTTCTGTTTGTAGAGATGGGAATAGTCATCCCTTATGGAAGAAGACAATAATTTGCTGCATTTTTAGGACTTGTAATTGTACAGGCAAATTCAAAATTCAGGTAGCATTAAAATTACAGCTAGATAATGCTGCCTGCTTTGTGGACAGCTATCCTCATTTCAAGGGAGAGCACCCCTTTATCTGTTGAAGAGATGTCTTTTTGATTTGCTAAGGGCAAGAATGGAAAATAAGTGCGAATAGGAACAGCTCCGGTCTGCAGCTCCCAGCGTGAGCGACGCAGAAGACGGGTGATCTCGGCATTTCCATCTGAGGTACCGGGTTCATCTCACTAGGGAGTGCCAGACAGTGGGTGCGCACACTGTGCGTGAGCCGAAGCAGAGCGAGGCATTGCCTCACTCGGGAAGCACAAAGGGTCAGGGAGTTCCCTTTCCTAGTCAAAGAAAGGGGTGACGGACGGCACCTGGAAAATCGGGTCACTCCCACCCGAATACTGTGCTTTTCTGACGGGCTTAAAACACGGCGCACCACGAGATTATATCCCGCACCTGGCTTGGAGGGTCCTACGCCCATGGAGTCTCGCTGATTGCTAGCAGAGCAGTCTGAGATCAAACTGCAAGGTGGCAGCCAGGCTGGGGGAGGGGGGCCCGCCATTGCCCAGGCTTGCTTAGGTAAACAAAGCAGCCTGGAAGCTCGAACTGGGTGGAGCCCACCACAGCTCAAGGAGGCCTGCCTGCCTGCCTCTGTAGGCTGCACAGACAAACAAAAAGACAGCAGTAACCTCTGCAGACTCAAATGTCCCTGTCTGACAGCTTTGAAGAGAGCAGTGGTCCTCCCAGTACGCAGCTGGACATCTGAGAAGGGCAGACTGCCTCCTCAAGTGGGTCCCTGACCCCGGACCCCCGAGCAGCCTAACTGGGAGGCACCCCCCAGCAGGGGCAGACTGACACCTCACAGGGCAGGGTACTCCAACAGACCTGCAGCTGAGGGTCCTGTCTGTTAGAAGGAAAACTAACAAACAGAAAGGACATCCACACCAAAAACCCATCTGTACATCACCATCATCAAAGACCAAAAGTAGATAAAACCACAAAGATGGGGAAAAACTGGAAACTCTAAAAAGCAGAGCGCCTCTCCTCTGCCAAAGGAATGCAGTTCCTCACCAGCAACGGAACAAAGCTGGACAGAGAATGACTATGACGAGCTGAGAGAAGAAGGCTTCAGACGATCAAATTACTCTGAGCTACAGGAGGACATTCAAACCAAAGGCAAAGATGTTGAAAACTTTGAAAAAAATTTAGAAGAATGTATAACTAGAATAACTAATACACAGAAGTGCTTAAAGGAGCTGATGGAGCTGAAAACCAAGGCTCGAGAACTACGTGAAGAATGCAGAAGCCTCAGGAGCCAATGCGATCAACTGGAAGAAAGGGTATCAGTGATGGAAGATGAAATGAATGAAATGAAGCAAGAAGGGAAGTTTAGAGAAAAAAGAATAAAAAGAAATGAGCAAAGCCTCCAAGAAATATGGGACTATGTGAAAAGACCAAATCTACATCTGATTGGTGTACCTGAAAGTGATGGGGAGAATGGAACCAAGTTGAAAAACACTCTGCAGGATATTATCCAGGAGAACTTCCCCAATCTAGCAAGGCAGGCCAAAGTTCAGATTCAGGAAATACAGAGAATGCCACAAAGATATTCCTTGACAAGAGCAACTCCAAGACACATAATTGTCAGATTCACCAAAGTTGAAATGAAGGAAAAAATGTTAAGGGCAGCCAGAGAGAAAGGTCGGGTTACCCTCAAAGGGAAGCCCATCAGACTAACAGTGGATCTCTCGGCAGAAACCCTACAAGCCAGAAGAGAGTGGGGGCCAATATTCAACATTCTTAAAGAAAAGAATTTTCAACCCAGAATTTCATATCCAGCCAAACTAAGCTTCATAAGTGAAGGAGAAATAAAATACTTTACAGACAAGCAAATGCTGAGAGATTTTGTCACTACCAGGCCTGCCCTAAAAGAGCTCCTGAAGGAAGCACTAAACATGGAAAGGAACAACCGGTACCAGCCACTGCAAAATCATGCCAAAATGTAGAGACCATCAAGACTAGGAAGAAACTGCATCAACTAACGAGCAAAATAACCAGCTAACATCATAATGACAGGATCAAATACACACATAACAATATTAACTTTACATGTAAATGGACTAAATGCTCCAATTAAAAGACACAGACTGGCAAATTGGATAAAGAAAGAGTCAAGACCCATCAGTGTGCTGTATTCAGGAGACCCATCTCACGTGCAGAGACACACATAGGCTCAAAATAAAAGGATGGAGGAAGATCTACCAAGCAAATGGAAAACAAAAAAAGGCAGGGGTTGCAATCCTAGTCTCGGATAAAACAGACTTTAAGCCAACAAAGATCAAAAGAGACAAAGAAGGCCATTACATAATGGTAAAGGGATCAATTCAACAAGAAGAGCTAACTATCCTAAATATATATGCACCCAATACAGGAGCACCCAGATACATAAAGCAAGTCCTGAGTGACCTACAAAGAGACTTAGACTCCCACACATTAATAATGGGAGACTTTAACACCCCACTGTCAACATTAGACAGATCAACGAGACAGAAAGTCAACAAGGATACCCAGGAATTGAACTCAGCTCTGCATCAAGTGGACCTAATAGACATCTACAGAACTCTCCACCCCAAATCAACAGAATACACATTTTTTTCAGCACCACACCACACCTATTCCAAAATTGACCACATACTTGGAAGTAAAGCTCTCCTCAGCAAATGTAAAAGAACAGAAATTATAACAAACTGTCTCTCAGACCACAGGTCAATCAAACTAGATCTCAGGATTAAGAATCTCACTCAAAATCGCTCAACTACATGGAAACTGAACAACCTGCTCCTGAATGACTACTGGGTACATAACGAAATGAAACCAGAAATAACGATGTTCTTTGAAACCAACGAGAACAAAGACACAACATACCAGAATCTCTGGGACGCATTCAAAGCAGTGTGTACAGGGAAATTTATAGCACTAAATGCCCACAAGAGAAAGCAGGAAAGATCCAAAATTGACACCCTAACATCACAATTAAAAGAACTAGAAAAGCAAGAGCAAACACATTCAAAAGCTAGCAGAAGGCAAGAAATAACTAAAATCAGAGTAGAACCGAAGCAAATAGAGACACAAAAAACCCTTCAAAAAATTAATGAATCCAGGAGCTGGTTTTTTGAAAGGATCAACAAAATAGATAGACTGCTAGCAAGACTAATAAAGAGAAAAAGAGAGAAGAATCAAATAGATGCAATAAAAAATGATAAAGGGGACATCACCACCAATCCCACAGAAATACAAACTACCATCAGAGAGTACTACAAACACCTCTACGCAAATAAACTAGAAAATCTAGAAGAAATGGATAAATTCCTCGACACATACACTCTCCCAAGACTAAACCAGGAAGAAGTTGAATCTCTGAATAGACCAATAACAGGATCTGAAATTGTGGCAACAATCAATAGCTTACCAACCAAAAAGAGTCCAGGACCAGATGGATTCACAGCCGAATTCTACCAGAGGTACAAGGAGGAACTGGTACCATTCCTTCTGAAACTATTCCAATCAATAGAAAAAGAGGGAATCCTCCCTAACTCATTTTATGAGGCCAGCATCATTCTGATACCAAAGCCAGGCAGAGACACAACCAAAAAAGATAATTTTAGACCAATATCCTTGATGAACATTGATGCAAAAATCCTCAATAAAATACTGGCAGACCGAATCCAGCAGCACATCAAAAAGCTTATCCACCATGATCAAGTGGGCTTCATCCCTGGGATGCAAGGCTGGTTCAATATACACAAATCAATAAATGTAATCCAGCATATAAACAGAGCCAAAGACAAAAACCACATGATTATCTCAATAGATGCAGAAAAGGCCTTTGACAAAATTCAACAACCCTTCATGCTAAAAACTCTCAATAAGTTAGGTATTGATGGGACGTATCTCAAAATAATAAGAGCTATCTATGACAAACCCACAGCCAATATCATACTGAATGGGCAAAAACTGGAAGCATTCCCTTTGAAAACTGGCACAAGACAGGGATGCCCTCTCTCACCACTCCTATTCAACATAGTGTTGGAAGTTCTGGCCAGGGCAATTAGGCAGGAGAAGGAAATGAAGGGTATTCAATTAGGAAAAGAGGAAGTCAAATTGTCCCTGTTTGCAGATGACATGATTGTGTATCTAGAAAACCCCACTGTCTCAGCCCAAAATCTCCTTAAGCTGATAAGCAACTTCAGCAAAGTCTCAGGATACAAAATCAATGTACAAAAGTCACAAGCATTCTTATACACCAATAACAGACAAACAGAGAGCCAAATCATGAGTGAACTCCCATTCACAATTGCTTCAAAGAGAATAAAATACCTAGGAATCCAACTTACAAGGGATGTGAAGGACCTCTTCAAGGAGAACTACAAACCACTGCTCAACGAAATAAAAGAGGATACAAACAAATGGAAGAACATTCTATGCTCATGGGTAGGAAGAATCAATATCGTGAAAATGGCCATACTGCCCAAGGTAATTTACAGATTCAGTGCCATCCCCATCAAGGTACCAATGCCTTTCTTCACAGAATTGGAAGAAACTACTTTAAAGTTCATATGGAACCAAAAAAGAGCCCGCATTGCCAAGGCAATCCTAAGCCAAAAGAAAAAAGCTGGAGGCATCACACTACCTGACTTCAAACTATACTACAAGGCTACAGTAACCAAAACAGCATGGTACTGGTACCAAAACACAGATATAGATCAATGGAACAGAACAGAGCCCTCAGAAATAATGCCGCATATCTACAACTATCTGATCTTTGACCAACCTGAGAAAAAACAAGCAATGGGGAAAGGATTCCCTATTTAATAAATGGTGCTGGGAAAACTGGCTAGCCATATGTAGAAAGCTGAAACTGGATCCCTTCCTTACACCTTATACAAAAATCAATTCAAGATGGATTAAAGACTTAAACGTTAGACCTAAAACCATAAAAACCCTAGAAGAAAACCTAGGCATTACCATTCAGGACATAGGCATGGGCAAGGACTTCATGTCTAAAACACCAAAAGCAAAGGCAACAAAAGCCAAAATTGACAAATGGGATCTAATTAAACTAAAGAGCTTCTGCACAGCAAAAGAAACTACCATCAGAGTGAACAGGCAACCTAGAAAATGGGAGAAAATTTTTGCAACCTACTCATCTGACAAAGTAATATCCAGAATCTACATGAACTCAAACAAATTTACAAGAGAAAAACAAACAACCCCATCAACAAGTGGGTGAAGGACATGAACAGACACTTCTCAAAAGAAGATATTTATGCAGCCAAAAAACACATGAAAAAATGCTCATCATCACTGGCCATCAGAGAAATGCAAATCAAAACCACAATGAGATACCATCTCACACCAGTTAGAATGGCAATCATTAAAAAGTCAGGAAACAACAGGTGCTGGAGAGGATGTGGAGAAATAGGAACACTTTTACACTGTTGGTGGGACTGTAAACTAGTTCAACCATTGTGGAAGTCAGTGTGGCGATTCCTCAGGGATCTAGAACTAGAAATACCATTTGACCCAGCCATCCCATTACTGGGTATATACCCAAAGGACTATAAATCATGCTGCTATAAAGACACATGCACACATATGTTTATTGTGGCATTATTCACAATAGCAAAGACTTGGAACCAACCCAAATGTCCAACAATGATAGACTGGATTAAGAAAATGTGGCACATATACACCATGGAACACTATGCAGCCATTAAAAATGATGAGTTCATGTCCTTTGTAGGGACATGGATGAAATTGGAAATCATCATTCTCAGTAAACTATCACAAGAACAAAAAACCAAACGCCGCATATTCTCACTCATAGGTGGGAATTGAACAATGAGATCACATGGACACAGGAAGGGGAACATCACACTCTGGGGACTGTAGTGGGGTGGGGGGAGGGGGGAGGGATAGCACTGGGAGATATACCTAATGCTAGATGACCAGTTAGTGGGTGCAGCGCACCAGAATGGCACATGTATACATATGTAACTAACCTGCACAATATGCACATGTACCCTGAAACTTAAAGTATAATAATAAAGAAAAGAAAAGAAAAAGAATATGAACTAAGAAAAACTAAAGTCTAACAGGGGAAACGTGTCAGAAAAAAATACCAATGTAGGTTTTTGAATATGTGAAGGAAAAACTGATTAAATTATGCAGATGAAATAAAAATCAAAAAAAAAAAGAATGGAAAATAAGTCACTTTGATTAAAGCTACTGAAAGTTGGAGTAGATTTAAATGTCCTTTTGTATTTATTTGACTATAATTTCTATTAATTGAAATATTTTAACCAATTTAACCAGTTGGTTTTGTTGTCACAAGCATGATATATTCATTCATACAGTAAGGTTTATGAAGCATCTACTAATGTGCCAGACACAGTCTGGCCATATATGTGTATATTATAAACACACACAGGAGATATATATATTTATGTATAGAGAGAGAGTTTTAAGTATGTAGTATTGAGTATTCAATACTATTAATTCATTTAAAAATAATTCTTGCATGATAACTACTTGGCTATCAGGTATCTGCTAGACCTTGAGAAGGAAGTATGAAGATAACTAAGACATATTTCCTATTTTTCTGAAGCCACAGTCTGGCCAAATTCATGTAACTTGATGGCAATTTGCAGAGAATTTCAAAGTCTGGGGATCATAACTATTTGTACTGAAGACAGAAAAAATAAAAAGGGAAAGAGAAAAAAAGGACCATCAGAAAAGAAGCTCTAAAGTTGAGGAGGAAGAAATTGAGAGATTTGGAAGACTATAAACAGAAACAGACATGACGAATATCATCTAGCGTGAAGAGGGCATATAGGGAAAGAATGTGATGTAAAAGCACAGCTCTAGGAGCTGCTAATTGTATCACAAGCTCTAGTTAGCAGAATAGTAAACTGCAACCTTGTATTTTGTGCCCAATGTTGAATTTAGTTGAATTATAAAGGAGCGACGGAAAGGTTTCCAAAGGCTGAAATATTTTCTAAAGCATATCAGATGTTCAGTAATAATGCAGTCATCTAGGGTAGACAAAACAAAGTTTGTGGACATTTGAACTTGCATTGATTTAAGAGATTATTCAAACCTATATTTATAAAATCATTTTACTCTGAATAGTCTATGAAGACAATAGTAACTTAGCTATGATCTTCCATTGCTCTAATGGGTCCAGGTCACAATATCATGAGCAAAGGTCAAATTTTTAAGAAACAATCCAACAATATGAGCAGCGTGCCATCAAAAACAAGCTTCAACCCTGTAATTATGTAAAGGCCTGCACAAATAGGACAGTCTTTTAACCTAGAAGCTCATTCTGTGCCCTAAATCACACACAAAGGGAAAATGACGGCATGCTATCTCAGGTGGAAACATAAAGTACTTAACTGGGTGACACACAATTGAGGTGGGTACCTGCTAGGACTTCAGTGGTCACTGGAGAAAAATAAAGCAAGAAGGAAGAGGAGGTCAGCAGTACAGCTGGAGTCACAGTGGGGATTCTAGCAACCCAGTGCCAGAAACAATGGCTAACATGGCTGAGTGCCTCCTCTGCTGACCCCTTCACCTGTATAATGCTACGTGCATCTAACAGAAGCCCAGTACACAGTCACCAACGCCATTCCCATTTTACAGATGCAGGAACTGAAGCTGAGAACGCCTATACAACATGCCCACAGGCTTATGGTCTTCTCTCCAGTCCTCCTCACCTTCAGGCTGAAGAGCTGCAGAAAGTCATGGCATTTATCCTGCATTTTTCTCCATTTGCCTTGCAAATAAATGCCAACAACACGAAAAAAAAAAAATAGTTGAAATAAAAACACCCACAAATAACAGCTTGTCTTTTCCCCTAAGGAGGTAGACAGAATGAAAATAAAGGAAGCCATCATTCTTTATTGGATGCTGGCATGAATCTTGAGCTGGTATGGAAGATTATTTGCTGGATAAACTATTCTTATTTTATATATTTTTATGCATTTATAAAGCTCATTTCAGCTAGGCCTTGTCCCATAAAACCCAAGGGAATTGTAGTAATTCAAAAGTGAAGATACTTTTTGAAATGGAACTAGAACAGTGGTGTAGAAAATGGGTAAAATGAGAAACAAAACTGGATTCAATAAGATTGGATAGATCAGTCTGTGAAGGAAAGTCTACAGGCAACTATTTCAGGGTGAAAAAGAAAAAGTGGTTCTTCAGATGAGAACTACACTTGGCTGCCATAGGTTGGATTCCACCTAAAGATGGGTTTTATTTGCCCTGTACAATGGTTTACAAATATCCAAGCCAACACTAAAAAGCTGTGAATTTCCATATAAAACCAAGTTTTCCGGCTTCTCTTAAAACACAAGTCCATACTAAGACCCCAATTTCCACTTGCGATCAGTTGGCAGGGCCTTGCTAGAGTCTTTTCTTTTAGACAGTAGTGAACCCTGAAATGGCCCATGTCCGCCTCGCTCCTTTGACCCTGTTCTCTAGCCTCTGCATTCTATTATCTGCCATGCCTTGCTGACCTCAAAATTTGCAGCTTTCACAACCCGGACGATTCACAGGTGTTCAAGTTGAAGACCAAACTGCTGGCTGACTTAATGTTAGCCAGTTACCATCACCTTGTGTAATTCAGTGAGGCCAAGTCCCAAACACTGACTATATAGTAAGACCTCTCCCCTTTCAGAAGCCCTCAGTGCGGCAGTTTTAAAATACAGCCCTCACATTTTTGACAGTCTTCTCATCAAGCAGTGGGGGCCTCTTTCTCTGGAATCAGGGTTTCTTGGGCTCTGTGACTGCTTGCCCAATAGAATATGACAGAAATGATAGCTGTGTCAGTTTCCAGGCCCAACCTAAGGAAACTGGCTATTTCCACAGACTGTATCTTGGACCATTTGCTGCTAGAACCCAGCCACCATGCTGTGAGGAAGCTAAAGCACCTTGTGGAGAGGCCAGCACAGGGAGAACACAGCCAGGTCGGTGAGCCACTTTGGAAGTGGATCCCCAGCCCCAGGAGAGCCTCTGCAGCATGGTACCCTCACTAGGTCCCGCCCAAATTTCAGATTCATAAACAAAGTAAGTGACTGCTGTAGTTTTAATCCAGTGAACTTTGGGATGGTTTGTTATGCAGCCATCCATAAACAGAGCACCCATTTGGTCTGAACACTGAGAAGGGCTTTCACAGCAGATGAGGGAGGACCAGGAAGGTGCACTTCCCTAAGCGACGGCCCCCAGGTGGCCTTGCTCACCTACCTGGCCGATGTGCCTTTGGAACTGCCATATTCATTACTCTTCCTCCATCCTGAGGTTTGGGGGGAGATGCAGTGAACCTGCAGATTCCCGATTCGGAAGGGGTGCTGGAGGTCAGACTGTCCGTGTACTCATTTGTCCCTGCCGTCAACTGCTCCGATGACGTGTCTGATATGAAGCACTCCGTGATGGTGAACTTGGCGTGCCTCAGTTGCTCTTCCATCTTGGCGTGTTCGTAGGCCCTGGCCAGTTCTTCGTAAGTGGAGGAGGCACTTTCTGTGGAGACCATGCTGCTTCTTGCTCGATCTACACCAGGAAAGAGAAAAACAAGACGGACGACTCACCATCAGAAGTCTGAACCAACGGCATGGCCCTTCCTGGCTTGGGGCTGTTTTCTTCCAGATCATGGTGGGACCTGGTAGGAGTTCTGGCTCCTTGGCGGAGGCTCCTGCCTTAGGCACTCTGAGGCCAGCTTCACAAGTCTCAGCAGATCCGGTTAAGGGAAGCTTTGTTGCAACCAAATTGCTGTAGTCAGATGTCCCAGCTTGGGACATTTCCATAAATAAATAACGCCTTCCCTTTAAAAAAAATCCTGCTTTTAGTGAAAACAGTAGGAGCCAGGCAGCAGCCCCCTCTCTGCTCCAACCTGCAAATGGATCTATGCCCTAGAGACTCTTTAATTGGCATGAATGATTTGAGCTGCAGTTCAGCTTCTGGGGCCTCAGCTCAGGAAGGAAGATGTGATGATATTTAGAAATAAAGATGTCATGTTGCACGGAAATTGGCCACAAGCCAGAATGGCCCCCGACCCCTGGGATGCGTCTTCTGTTGTGATTACCCTTTATGGGGACTAGAAAACCATCAGGACAAAAACTGGTGCCCACATGCCTTTGAGCTGGGCCACGCCATCTTGGTCAGGGAGATGTCTGCGTTTCAAATGCACTAAAAAGTTTTAGGGTCTCCTCTGTGTGGAACTCTGAGACTCTTCTAAGAGAAATCACAGCCTTAAAAATAAATTCACATGGCGACGATCCTCCTCTGGAACACTGTTTTTGAAGTATATCATCAAGAACAAAAGAAAAATGAGTATTAAAATTTCCTACAGCTATTAGATTCAGATGTAATTTCTTTTCAAAATTTAAGAGGGGGTGGTGGGCAACCCGGTGCTATTCTTAGGGCCTGTCTTCTCTCTGAAGTGAAAACTTGGTGGTTGATGGCATAGACTGGATGACTTACCTTATAACCAACCCCTGTTTAATTGTCAAACGGATCAGCCTGTGTTCCCTATAGAGGGTGCTATGACCTCATCATGTAACTTCAAGTGCTGTGTCTTAATCTTGGAGATGGTAATGGGTCAGACGCCCTCAGAGTGTAATCAGCAATTACTGCAATCACGGGGGTGAAAATTTAAAAATGTCTCTATTTCTCCCAGTGGGGTAGGAACTAAATGGAGAAATAAGCTTGGGTCTAAGATTCAGGACACCTGCAGAATAGATGCAGTTTGGCTCTGTTTTGCCCTGTGTGGAGTAAAGGCTGTGCAGTTGTATTAGTAACTGTTAGATAAACCGCGTAACAATTTGAAAGTGACCTTCAAAAGAACATAAGTAAGAGGGAGGAAGCCCTCTCTCCCCTCCCCAAGGAGCCCATGAAGCTCAAGGTGCGGGGGCCGTGCTGGTCCCCAGGGACGGAGGAGGCAGCGTCAGGGCCTACCTGTGTCTTGCGAGGGGCTGACGCTGTAACTGTCGCTCTCTTTGTCTACTGATCCTGCAGCCCTGGGTGTTGGCAGCCTCCAGTCTGTGGTGAGGGTGTGTGCTGAGATGGTGGGGTGGGGTCGGTTGAGGGTCCACTGGCTGGCATAGCGGTTTCTCGCTGTGGGCCCAGCCTTGGCATTCCTCCTGGTGGTGGGATCTGTGAAGAGCCAAGAATCATGTCTGCCTTTGTCTGCAGGAGTGTGGTCAGCTGAGAGCAAGCGTAGAGGTCAGTGCCACCCACCCAGCACTGCCGACTCGCCCACGCCCTCCAGGAAAACTTCCTTGACTTCTCCTGTGCAGAGGATACTTTCCCTTTCCTTTATGGCTTGAAACCTTCATCTGATACTTACGTGTTTAATCAGCCCTGCAGGGAAAAGAACACCCTACTTGGATTCAGAAGTTACATATTTGAGTCTTGCTCTTGGCCTTTAATAATGTTATGACCCTTCTAACATTAAAAGCTAGAAATGGAATGAGGGGAGACTGACAACAATTACAGGACAAAACAAGAAAATTTCAAACAGTGATGAAGATTATAAAGAAAATGAAACCAATTACTGTGCTAGAGAATGACTTGAGAGAGGTACTTTGGTTACGATGTTTGCAACTGCAATTAAATGGATGATAGTACAAAAAATAATGTTATGACCCGATGCACATCATTTAAACTTCCTGGGCATCGTCATATTCTGTAAAACAAGGAAGCTCAGCCCAGTGTGTTCTAACATGACCTCCTTTCTACATCCTTAGGTGTTGTTATGCGTGAATCACGTCCCCCCAAAAGACATGTTCGTGTCCTAACCCCCAGGACCTCAGAATGTGTGATCTGGTTTGGAAATAAGGTCATCACAGATGAAATTAGCTAAGACAAGGTCATATTGGAATAGGGTTGGCCCTTAATCCACTGTGACTGGTGTCCTTTTAAGAAGAGGACACAGACACAGGAGGGGAGAGGGCCATGGGATGATGCAGGTGGAGACTGGAGTGCTACAGCTGCAAGCAAATACATTTCTGTGCTGTGAAGCCATCCATTTGGTGGTACTACGTTAAAACAGCTCTAGGAAATTAACACAGATGTTGCCTGTATTTTTGTTTCTCATATTACTACTCATTGTTTTAATGATGACTGTTTTATTCATTAAGTTGAAAGCTCCTAAAGCAGAGGGACCGTATTTTTATGTCCCAACTCTCCTTAAGCCCTTGCCTATGATAGCACATCTCTTCAATAGAATTGTCCTAACTTTAACAGAGACAACTTGGGTTATTTAATATGGAGAACAAAGGGTTAAGCTGGTGCCAGATGGGTTTCATTTTCTCTAAATCTGGAACCAAAGGCAGCAAGTCTATGGGGTGGACGGAGTTCTTAGCTCAACCCTTTGGTGAGGTAAGAAGAAGGATGTTCCACCAGCAGAGACTGTCAGGTACCAGAATGGGCTACAACATCGCCTCTTCTGGAATTCTGTGGAAAATATGAGAGGTTCAGTTACCTGGAATGATTTTTCTGGGGCTCCAGCCTGGAGACAGCTTAAGGTCCTAGATGGGTCTTTTCTACCTTTGAATTCTCTGCTTCTCAAAGAGCAGTTTGATACAGTTATATTTCAGTATGGTCTGGCCACTTCTAAACCCAGCAGACTGTATTCACTGTTGGGCTCTCACGAAGTTTCAAAGGAGCAAAACTGACAGGGCTGGCCTGTAATGTTATTGCACCGATTTATTTATGTGCTTTCATGAGCCTGGCAGTGTCTCCAGGGCAGGGGCAATGGTATCCCTCTGTGGATCCATTCATAGAGCCTACAATAATCTCTGACATACAGAGTTTTCTGAAGGAATTCATAGACCTAGGGTCACTTTATGAAGGCAATGGAAGCTCAGAGAGAAGTGACATAGCTGTTACGTGATAAAACTATAACCCAAACCTTCTGCCTTTTCAGTTCAGATAACGCCTGTTACTTGACCACACATGGCCAAATCCTGAGTGTCTAAGTTTCCTAGTGCTGTGTCTACATGACCTTGGCTTGCTTATAATTCCATGTTGGAATGTGAAAGGCTAACACTGGGAAGGTGCAATGACTTTGTTTTTAAACGGGAGATTTCCTCACTGCAAGTTTCTAGTTAATTCGACTTTGAATCTAATCTATCATTCTGTGTTGCTGGAGAGGTGCGTTAAGATGGCAGCCAAAGAGATAGATTTTAAGATCTCCTAAATCATCAGAATACTCAATCTTGGTAAATATTCTCTGGGGCATTGATTTTAAGACACATTTCATCCCTTACTTGCACAATTCCACGGAAGACTTCATTAGATTTTTTTTTGTCCTTGATGAGAATGTAAATGAGTTATGTTGGAGCTCTACACAACCAGGTATGAATGATAATTGGGTTTCTTCACCGAAATGCTAGGAAAGAGGCCCTCAAAAAGACAGAAAAACATTATGATGGGGAAGAGGCTAAATGTCTTCCAGGCACTATCGACTTGATAAGTGGAGCTTAAATAAGTGAAGCTTGTTATTTAAATGCTAATGAGTCTTTTCCAGAAAATTACCCAGTCCCTTACATAAGTTTTGAAAATTCTCATTTTTATTCTTCTTTAAGTTTCTTGCAACTACAACTGTTGTAGCTCATTCTGAGCAGGTTTACTTCTGGCATGGAAGTTGGGGGGTGGTTGGGGGTTATAGTTTGCTAGTCCCACTTCAAGGATACAGTCATTTCCTCCAATCCCCCAAACCTTGACCCTCATTTCTTCTGCTTGAGCTCACTCTCCAATGGTGGGGCAAAGATCTTCACTGTCATAGCCCCTTTCCTCATTGAGATCACCCTACTTGGAAAATTCCATGGGAAAGTCGCACATGCAGCCTTGATTCAAAGCCTGGTCTCTTTTCAAGTTAATTTTGTTCATAATCTCTTTTTTTCTAGATGAGGACAGTTTTACTGGTGGCCTGATAATGTTGAAAATTTAGGTCATGATATTAGTTTCCTTAAACCACAGCCCTCAGTTTGTACTGCGCTAGGCAGGCATCCTAGGGTCAAAATTGCCTCAGTATGTAGAATACTGGGGTATTTGACACATTTATTTTTTAATAATTTGGTTTTTGGAGCCATTGTTTTGTACCTGAACTGAACTCTGCTGTATGATAATGACTAAGATAGCAGCTAAAATATAATTTTTACTTGGATTCCACAGGAAGCCTTTTTTGTGTAACTTACTAGCTCATCTACTGAGCAAATAAACGCTGGGATTTACTGCTCCTTCATGGAAAGTATTTTGTTAGGCTCCCAGCATTCTAATATAAATAAAACTCGGTGATTAAGCTTCATGCCTGCTCAGCAGCCCATGAGTTGGAGGGCACAGGATATAAATAGCTCATGGCCTTTCAACATGGGGTTTGAACCCTAATTAAGCTTCTGCCCATTGAATCAGATTATTTTAATTATCCTGAGTTTGGGATGAGAGAGGATTTTGTAGATAATATAATAGGTTACAGAACATGTCATGCGTACTGTGATCATGGTATTAATCTGCTTTCATCTGTGCCATTGGTTTCCATATCTTGCAGTTGTGGAGGTACAGCTTTACATAACGAATTTACTAGTTGTCTCAGAGAGAGGATGAAACTGGGAGATCTGAACACTCCCTCATGTAACTAAAAAATATTTATCTAGCACTTATTACATCCTGGACCACTGGATGCACCTCACCCACCCCAGGTATTTCCCTCAGGGCCACTGCTAGTCCCATCCTGGGTAACAGAGGGCATTTTTTCTTTCAAAGTCTCAGCAATAAAGATTCAAGTCCATGTTGTAAGCTCTTGTCATTGAATGTGCGTACATGTGAAGTCTATTCTTTAGTCTCTACATATCCTATATGTAGTATCTCTACCTAAAGGCCATGTAGAATGACTGAGAGTGAGAGCTTTGGAATTAGGCTGCCTGGGCTGGAAGTTCATATTCACTACTCCCTGGCTGTGTCGCTGGCCAAGTGACCTTGTCAGACAGACCTGACTAATCCCCTAGTCTCTGAGACTAGGTGATGTCATCACCCACGTTAAGAGCTGTCCTGAAGTTTAAATGAGATTAATGTGCCCAAGTGCTCCGGGCACATGGCACAGGCACAGCTGGCCGTGCCCATGATTCCTATGCAGCAAACATGACTCAATGTCTTTTCTTTTCCATTCCCATTGTTCTGATCTCAGAACTTGATGGCTGATTGGTATTTATCCACTACATGCCTGTGTCAGACAGACACTGTGGCTGGTATGGGGATGAGGACATGGATAGAGTCCTAGTTTTCCAGTGTATTATAATCCACAGGAAAGACAGAGAAGTAATCAGTGCAGCAGAACCAGCCAAGGGATGTGTTTTCACTACTGACAGAGATAAATAGCAAATTGTTATGATTTCTTCCATCCTCATAAGAATCTGTTGCAACCCTCTGGCAAACTAATAAAATGCCTAGAAACATAACTTCTACAATGCAGTCATTCTGGTATGCAAGCAACATGTTTTAGATGCTTTTCTTAAAAATAAAGAATTCTTGCAATGACAACACAGTCCTAACATACAAAATAGAATCACGATGTGTTCTCTAGCTGAGAAAATAGAGAATACAAATGATTCTCTGCAAGTATGCCAAACTGTGGTGAGAAGAACCGGCTCCATGGAATTCACAGAGGTATAAACACCTGGGCAGAGGTGAGAAGCTCTGGTGCAAGAAGCTAGTGGGGGACTGTGCTTCAGAAAGTTCATGGGTTTCAGACTCTTGAACCCACTGTGGGGCCAGTCACCTACCATTTCTAACTCTAAATAAAACACGGAGTGTTGTCAGTCCCTCACACTGTGGTTTTTGAGGAAGATTTAATGAAAAAAAGATCCAGCAGATCTTTTACTAATACAGAGGGTTCTGCAAATGCTAAATTAATACGCTCAATTTGGAGAGTGAGGGGGGAACCAGAGACTGATGCATGCATTTGAGTAGATTTGCTTGATGTTGGTAAACATCATTTAGTGAAATTCAGCACAAAGGACAGAAACATTGTTCTATAAGCTATAGTGTTTCCCTGTGATCATCAGGCTAAGCCCCAGGGACAGCATCTCAGCACTCTCAGAATGAAATGCACCTGCCAGGCACTGGCTTAGGGGACCCTGAAAGATGAGGACAGCTGTTTCTCTGTCTCACCTTTTCCCTGCCTTTCACTGTGCTCCAGTGCCACTTCCATCCTCATCATGCGGGGAACCTTGGGAGCTTTTCCCTGCTGCCCCCTCTGCTCCTGCTGTGACTCTGATCTTGTTTCATGTCTTCCCCTCACTGGAAGTCCTCCTGAATGACTTGGACCCAAGAGAGCCCCTCCCACTGCTCCACACGCCCGCTGACTCACCATGGCTTCATTCTCTTTCTGTCTAGGACTTACTGAGAAATGAAAACTACTTTAGTTCCATGTCTAATGTCTGCCCCCTGACTAGGATGAAATGAATGTCTTTTTGCATCTTACTCATGGTGTATCTCCATCATACAGCACTGAGCCATATACGTAAAGTGAAACCTGAATAAATACTTTTGAGTGCTGAATGAACGCATTAACATTCCCAGCCCTGCTTCCAACTTTATAGCCATGAGATACACACACGTCCCTCCCATGTGCGTCCTGCCTGGCACTCGCTGACCACTGGTTTACAGTATCTGCTGTGACTCCGGTTCATGTCTCTGTTGATATTTTACATGCCAACAAATCAACTTCCCCATTATTCTGGGGCTGACCATGAAGCTGGAAGGTTGCCAGTGCTTTTGTTTTGGGCTGCTGCTTCTCCTGTCTTAACTATTTATGACTAGCTTTATGCATTCTCGGCTGCTAGCTGACCATTGACAGGGAAGCAGAAATGCATGTTGCTTTTTACCTGGCAGGAAGAACTGATGTGCCGGAGGGGTCCTGCCCTGCTGCGTTACATGCAGGAAACATTTCTAACCCTTGGGGCAGTGTTTCTCAATGTGGGGTCCAAACGGCCAGCATCAGAATCACCCAGGGTGTCTGTTACCATGCGGATTCCTAGGCCAGAATCTCTGGGTGGAGGCCTGGAATTGATATTTAAATAGGCACCAGGTGATTCTGATGCATGTAAAGGTGGAGAACGAGACCCAGGGCATCTGCTCTGTTGTCTCTTTTGCCTGCTCTTCTGCCACCGTTTCCAACAGAATGCTGAAGCCAATGCTGCATCACTCTAAAAATCTAATCCTTTCAATATCTGTAACTTTTTCTGATTTAGCAGCAAAAAAGTGGCTCTTAAACCCATTGGAGCAGTGTCTTGGAGTAGCAGCAAGCCACACCAGGCAGTTCACAAGGGGAGAAGCCAACGGCTGAAGAGATGTCAAAGCCCTTGAATCTTTTTTTTTTTTTGGAGACAGAGTCTCGCTCTGTCGTCCAGGCTGGAGTGCAGTGGCGTGATCTCAGCTCACTGCAAGCTCTGCCTCCCAGGTTCACGCCATTCTCCTGCCTCAGCCTTCTGAGTAGCTGGGACTACAGGTGCCCGCCACCAGGCCGGCTAATTTTTCTTATTTTTAGTAGAGACGAGGTTTCACCATGTTAGCCAGGATGGTCTCAATCTCCTGACCTCGTGATCCGACCGCCTCGGCCTCCCAAAGTGCTGGGATTGAGCCACTGCGCCCAGTCTGGATCATTTTTTAAGAGCAAGGCTCTGGCACACACCCCTTTGCAAAGCTAATTCCCACTCATATCCCGTTTATGTCTTCAGAATGTATTAATGTGATCAAAGAAGAAAGGCGGTAAGAAGATTAGACAAAAGGAAGAGGTAAAAGACTTCTTTAGAATGTAGAATATTCTTGAAAACATTTTTTAAATGAATTTCAATGCCTGCTGAAACTGTTTTCTGTATATTACAATGTTATTTCGTAGGCAATGGGTTTACTTCATAAAGCTCACTGCATTTCGCAAATGCTTCCCAAGCTAGGATTTATGAAGAATAGCTTTTAACATTATAATAGTTATTTTTCTAATAATAACACACTATTCTAAGAATGTAAATTTTTGCAAAGAAATTGATTAGAGATTTGAAAGCTAGACGTCAAAGTTTCCAAAATGATAATAATCAGGACATCAATTTCTCAGTCTTTAAAGAGATTTAGGAACGATTCCAATTATGAAGAAATAAGAGTATCTAATTAATAAGCTCTAGATACATATTAGGGGATTCACCTTCATTGCAGTAATTAATTTCCATATATTATGGATGCAAATATTAATAACAAAATCCAACATAATCTTCACATTAACTAGAATTATAATTTTTCTCAAACAGCGTGTTCAGGGGCAAAAGCATAAGCTTTGGGGATAGATGGGTCTGTTTCTGAATCTTGGTTTTACTACTTATGTGTGCAACTTTATACTGTTTGCATAATTTATCTGAGGCTGCAGTTTTCTCACCTGCAGAATAGAGGCTATGATACCTGCTTCACGAGTAGGTATCTTACAGGATTGTTGCAAAGATAACGTGCATGACATCATCGTTCTATCCCAATACTGGCATACAGCAGATACACACTAAAGTAGATTACTTTTTTCCTTTTCTGTGTTGCTTAAATTAAAAAAATAAATACATGTACCTGAAATTTCTAGCACTTTTTATAGTAACCAATACTAACAGTAATTCAACTGACATAATAATAGCCAAGATCCATCAATAACAGCTCATTATCCCAATTAGGGATGTTATTATACCCATTTGTTTCTCAGGCATAGGTATGAAAAGCCACACATTTTCATTTGAGAGAGAAAGAACATTACTATGTTTTCAGCATTGTTAACACCCACACATTTTAAGCATTGTTGACCACTCACTCGTTCCCGGCCGAGCGTCTGAAACATCCACTAAGGGCCCAGTGGCCTGAGACACCGATTGGTAATGGACCGTGTGAGTGACCGTCAGGGACTTCTGCTTAGCTGCCTCTCCAAAGTCAGCATCCGTCAACAGAACCGTGGAGCGATCATCTACAGGATGGCAGGAACACAGAAAGCCAAACACGTTTATCTCCCTTCCAACCACTCCCTGGCCTTTTCTCTCCTGAGGCACTTGTGTTATTGTTAATGACAACCACAATAATAGCCCCATCTAAAGTGACAAAAATGATTGAAAATTCAAGCACTGAATTAGCATTACTCTAGAGTGCTAGGAATAGAAGCTTCTTCCTAGGGGTTGGCTTTGGGAGCAATGAGCTAAGAAGAACCATGACTATGCAGAGAAGGAGCTCTCTTTTCTCTTTGGGCTTGGCTTTTCATTAAGCTAACATTGATTTGAACTCTGGATTTATGTGTTTGTCAAAAGCTTCTCTGAGACATCATCTGCGATGCCAGCCCCCTCACCAGTGATGAGGCTGTCAATGAAGACAGGTCCCTTTGGCTGCTGGGAAGCTCTGTTTGCAAGACTAGAAAATCGCCACTACAGTTCTCTCTACTGAGGTTTGCTCTCATTCTGAACTTGGCTAATGTTTGGAGGGGAAATAAAAGAGAAGAAAACATGCCAGTCTTCAGAGCTTATTGATTGCTCTATTTTAAAGGACTCAAGGTATGTTCCTTTTCTTCCCACCTCCTGTAAGCTTTAAGCACTCTAGAACATCCATTAACTGACTTCTCCTACATGATTCACTTGTCAGACTTCCCAAGTCCTACTGCCGTGGGCACTTGAAGGTGAGCGAGGCAGGAGCCTGGGTTTGGATGGGTTCTGGGCATCTTAGTGCTTGGAGCAGGAGCTGCTGTTTGAGCTGGGTCATTATTTGGTGGGCCAGGATTCTCATTACTACCTTGTGATATGTTTCATACTTTTTAAAAAGCTTTTTTACTCCAAGGGAGACTTTGGCTAGGATATACAGATTTTTCATAAATTTTCAAAGACTGCAGCCCAGGATGCTGTTGCTAAGAGTTTATCAGTCAGCAGGGACCATACTGCAGCCCTGCCCTGACACTGCAACAGGGATGCGAAAGTCGTAAACAACACAGCTCGACTTCTGTGCCCAAAAAAGGCTCTGAACAGAATGAACCTTACAAAATCCAATTACTCAGTCTCTGGCAGGAAAGGAAAGCCTCTCAAAGTTAGAATAAAATTTCCTGGCAGAGAAATAGAGGAAAGGCTGCCAAGATGTCTGTGAGTATCCCAGCGCATGGTGCGGTGAGGTTGGCACCACAGCAGGCGCCTGGGCTTGGCTTGGAGGTCCGGCCCCATGGCGGTCACTCGACTCCTCAAAGAGGGTGGCTCTTCCACAGAGACAGCTTCCTACAACTGGACCCAGCACGAGAGGCTCCGTGTCTACATTTGTTTTTCATTAATGATGGGATATGTCACAGTTTCTAGCAGGCAGGCCCTTTTAGATCACACCAGATGATCTGCGGGGCTAGGTTACACACTTTTCATGGAAAATTTTGGGCGCCTGTCTGATCATGAGGTTAACCATTCATTCTAGCTGGAAATTAATGTCACTGTAATATTGGATTCTTGTGGTCAGAGCCCAGAGCATTTTGAAGCACCACAGTTCCACTTCCCAGTAATTAGAAAATGCCATCGACCCATTGTCAGGCATCACAAGGAGGTCAAGGGCTCTTGCTGATACATGATCCTGCATGGACTGGGATGGATCTCTGGCGAACGGTCATATTTACAAATGGAAATGACTGGCAGGCTTCCTCTGGTGTTAAGCCCCCCAGTGACCAGCTCTTGGAAGGCCATAGACCACTCATGGCATCTGCCTAGCTATCTATTTTCATAGCCATATGTAGGATTATTGTCTAGTGAGGCGCATTTAGCAAATATTGTAACGTGTTATATAACCATGGTGACCTCCACAAACTATGTAACCTCTCTGTGTCTCAGTTACAAAAGAAACTTTTCCTATGTTGGCTGGAAGGGTTAAATTAAATAATGCATATAAATGGCTTATAAAATTATATGGTCAAAGGAATTACATTCTAATTTTTGAAATTTTTTCAAAGGAAATTTTCAGTTTTAATGCCCAATCTACTGGGTGAAACAAAAGAGATTCCAGGTATACCTTCCCCTTTCCCAAAAAAAGATAATCAAAAGCAAAACATAGTAGCTTATCCCTTGTCCTGATACAAGCAAGCTAATAAAATCTTGTGTACTTTAGGGCAGGTAGTGCCACCTCACATACATGGTTTAACTGAAGTGTTTCACTGAAGTTAGCTGATCAAGAGCCACTTTGCACTTGACCAATCTTTAAGTGCTGCTATGCCTGGACCAAATGTGACTTCAGCCAGGAGAACCCAGGCCTTAGAATTTAGGAGCCATTAGGTCAAGATGTCTCCAGTGGTGGGTGGGGCAGCAGAAGGGTGATGGTTGATGGAGCAGGTGTTCTGCCCACCTGGTCTCTTACCACTGCCTTCCCGGCAGGAGGCAGCTGGGCTATGTGCTGAGAGTCAGGCAGTTTATCCAGACCACAAGAAAGGGTTGTCCTGGGACTCATGCCAGCAAACACCTTCCAAAACAAACATAGCCAGGTTTGAAAAGAGGCAGCCTCGGAGCCCGCCTCAGGGTGTTTCCATGGGCACTCAAAAGCTTGGATAACTTCTGGTTGAGGGTTTCTTGGAAGCAGCCTGTTGGTGTGGAAGCAGGTGGCCTGCTGCTGTGCTAGCTGTCATTGGAGACAGACAGCATGGCGGTGAGTGTGGCCAGGTGGGGAACCTGGTTCTGCGCCTGTCTCTGTGACCTTGGAAAGCTACACAGACCTCTCTACATCTTGGTTACAAAAGCAAGACTTCTTTCATATGTTGGTTGAAAGGTTAAATTAAGTAATGCACACGAAGTGCTTATAAAAACTATGTGACATTTACAGAATTCTCAATACATGTTAGCTATTCTTCTCATTATTACTGGAAAGGAAATATAAGGTATTTCACTCCGGAATAAATAGAATAATCGAGGCAGGCAGTGTGGGGTAATGGACTTCAGGTGGAAAGAGGCTGGGAAGAGTGAAGATACCTGGGTTCTGGTTGAACAAGCCAGAAAACCTCAGGGTGGCTGTTCTGAAACCCTAAAACTAGGGCCCTGGTGTTTTTCCCAAAGTGCTGCTGGGGAAACAGCTGCAGGATGTTTCTGGGGCACTGGTGTGGGGGACGATACCCTGTACAAAGACATGTGTTTGTTTAAGTGTTAAGTACAGTTTAAAAGTTTTATTTAATGAAGGCTTGCATTATCAGAGTTGATGAGGGGGGCACGGAGTGGATTTTCAACCTGGGGCTTTAGAGTGCAGGCCTTCTGGATTGATGTGTATTCGATTACAGATGTTTATTCCTTGGAGTGGCATCCGTAGCCTCCCCTGGAAAGATCCCAAATGGATCAGAGCTGAGGGATTTCTGTCCCAAATGCCTGGAACTGACTGGCATATTGGCATATATGGTGGTATATATAAGTCAAATTTTCTGCACATTTGCTGGTACTGATTCTTCTTCACAAGAACAATTCTCTACCTTCTAGCTTTGGTACTCACGTAGCCTTCAAGACGCTCTCCTGTCTAATATTTCCCACATCCTGGGGTTTGGATTGAGAAGGCATGGCTGTGGCAGCCACTTTGTGTAAAGTGGCAAATAGGGCAGCTTACCAATGGTCTCCATCGTGTCTCTCTCTTCAATCAAAAGCTGAGCCCTGGGTATGTCGATGTGCATTCGCAGGGTCTGCTGTTGCTTGCTTAACGTATCTGAAGTCCGGGTATTCTTACTGGGAATAAAATGGGGTAATGCATTAACAAATCCAGTTCAGTGTTAACATTCTACCAACATGCACCTGTATACCAACTTAGTTTATTGTCTAAATATACAAATACCTTGTGAGGAGGGGAACAGAAAACGTACATACTATGAAAACGTTTCCTTCATTCAAATGTTATTTATTTATTAATATTAAATTTCAGCTGGCTGGAGAGTTTCAGAAAATACAAATTGTCAATAGAGATTGGCTCTATATCTACCAATAGAATCTTTAGAAAGTTCTCATTTCTTGTGTAAATGCTAAATGAAACAAATGAAAAGCAATTAAAAACCAACAGCATTTTCATTTGTCAGATGTGAGATATTCCAGTGATGGTGAGGAATAAAGCACCAGATATTCCAAAGATGGTGAGGGAAAAAGCACGTGCACCAGCTGTTTGTCGGATGGGAGTTTTACTAATGGATTTGTATTTATATCTGGTGTCATTTTATTTTTGTTCTAGAAGCAAATCACAAACCTTGTTAGCTTCCCTGACGTTAGTTTTCCTAACTGATAGTACATTTTAGAATGGAAAAAAAGCAATTACTATCATAATTTAATCTCAAAATTTGTGTATCAGAAGATTACTCTTAGAGTGAGCTGTTCTCTAAAAGTAAATGAAAATAAGTAGTAAAACTGCATGGTAGAATCGGATTCAGTTATAGCCTGCAGTTAAAAAAAAAACTCCACGTTGCACAAAAATCTAAAAAAGTCAATAAAGACTTTAATTAGCAATCCACATTAGAAGGGTGGTTGTTCAGTCTTTACAGAATAATAAGACTTTACTAGATGTTCAAATAGTATTTACTGAAGCATCCTCTAAGAAGCAGCAGTCACTTGGATAATCCAATCAATGGCATAATCTATGGCATCCATGAATCCAGCTCAATTGTTGTTAACACTGGTTTTGAGAAAGATTTCTGGAGCCTAGTTAACTCAATAATGGTTTACCTCTGTGTTACTTTTAGTGGAGACCAAAATAGGAATACTCAATGCTACATTTTAAATGCTTTCCCCTCTAACCGAGCCATTTACCCCAAGTCCCAGGGCTGTGCCTCCACCGATCCTTCCTTGTTAATGAGGACTCATCCACTCTTAAACCAAGTGGTGGACAGAACTTTAATTATCCCAAAGTGAAGGTCACTCAAGTACCCCCTTAGATGTTTGCCTGATGAGATCCATGTATACTCCTCGTTTGAGTAAAAGCAAATTATCCCATGAAAAAGACAACTTCTGAAAGGTGCAACATTCCTACTTAGGACTTGATCTTGAACCAGATTGCTTGCTCTGCAGATAAGGAACTGGGCTATGTACCTACATCATGCTAATTATGCAGAGCCCAAATTCAAACGTTTTGTCCTGACTTTTCACATGGTCTCCAAGCTCTTTCAAATTACTGACTTAACTAACTTGTCATTCGTTGATTTTGTTAAAAAGAGAGTAATGAAAAAATTCAAATAATCAAATAAAAGGAG
Organism: Homo sapiens; assembly: GCF_000001405.40. Taxonomy (NCBI): domain Eukaryota; kingdom Metazoa; phylum Chordata; class Mammalia; order Primates; family Hominidae; genus Homo; species Homo sapiens. Next base: position 196,685 of record NW_025791814.1, read on the forward strand.
GAGCATTTTGGTTACTTGGGGGGCTGCATTTACGGCATGCTTAGACAAGCTATATTTCCACAAAAACATATGGGGAACTACTCCTCTGTGAATATCCCAAAGATCTGTTTAGAAACCTCACTAGGGACTTGAGCTTGTCCTTGCACCAAAAATAGAAGTGTGAGCTAGTTCCTTCTGCTCTTCATGAATAATTATGAGGCAGTCAGCGGCTGCTCTATTAAATAGCGATGAACACCAAGTGCAGGCTATACTTAAACAACAATAAGGGGTCTGCTACCAGATTGCCACAGGAAGCAGGCTAAATAATGGCTGTGAACCACTGCGACTGGCTGGCACCAAGATTTAGAACATGATTCAACTCTGCGAACCAGGACAACCAAGGCTGGAGGTAAATTCTTCCTCCTCAGAAGACTATAAGAAAACGGCCCAACAAGCCTCGAGATTCAGAAGCTAATTGTTTTTAGAGACAGGGTCTTGCTCTGTCGCCCAGGCTGGAGTGCAGTGATGCAATCACAGTTCACTGCAGTCTTTTTTTTTTTTTTTTTTTTTTTTGAGATGGACTCTTGCTCTGTTGCCCAGGCTGGAGTGCAGTGGCGCGATCTCAGCTCACTGCAAGCTCCGCCTCCCAGGTTCACACCATTCTCCTTCCTCAGCCTCCCGAGTAGCTGGGACTACAGGTGCCCACCACCACGTCTGGCTTTTTTGTATTTTTAGTAGAGACCGGGTTTCGCCCTGTTAGCCAGAATGGTCTCAATCTCCTGACCTCGTGATCCACCCGCCTCAGCCTCCCAAAGTGCTGGGATTACAGGTGTGAGCCACTGCGCCTGGCCGGACTCACAGTTCTTCTTTCTCTTTGCACTTGGCTGTTCCCGTTGTTTAGAACACACTTCCCCTGCTACCCCCAAAACCCACATACTGGCTCCCTTGTTGCAAGGCTCGACTCAGATGCCATCATCTTTCCAGTGGAGCCAGGCTGGCCCTGCGATGGGGACGTCTTCTGTGTCCTGTCCCCATTCTCTGTTTAATTTTGTCTGCTTGGCACTTATTACTCTCTAGCATATACTTAGTTGATTTATCTTATCCATTATCTGCCTCTCTCACTGGAAAATATGCTCCACCGGGGTTTTCTTCACCTGCTCTGTTTCCTGTGTCTCCCTAGAACTTAGAACAGTATATGGCCAAAGGAGGTGCTCAATAAATATCTGTGAAGTAAATCCTCACATTGATTTATTTTGAGGGCACAACGTGAGCTGAGTGAGATGTCCCCAAGACTTTGTTTTGAGGCAATAATATCCTTCTCATTCTAAAAGGTCACTGGATTCCAACTAAGTTATTTCATTACTTAATATTTGCTGTCACTTTTGACAATCTATTGTTACATTTATATTTATCACTCTGTGTTCTGTTAACCTCAAAAATGATAACAATTGGTCATTAGAATGGCAGCAAACCTTAAAAAAGTGATTTGAACAAACCTCATTTGCAACCTGGAAAAACAGTCCAAATGTTTTCACTGTGGAAGCAAAAATTGCATCTTTTTTGCATGGCATAGGATCATGCTAAACATATTAGTTATTATTGAGCTATAATCTTCAACCATCCATTTATTTGCCATCTGGTTGTTTGAATAAAATGAGAAGAAGAGGAGAGCAGAGACGGTTTCATAGGGCAGAGAATTTCCCAGCTTAGCCAATCAATTATTTGCAGCCACTGCCACTCTTCAAAGTCTTAATAGTCCATCATCCTCCCAAATATGACACAGAACATTCCTTAAATGTACAATGACTATTGGACTATTAGGAGCATAGCTCATTATAACACTAGGGTAGAGATTTTTTATTATGTGCACAAAAATATGAACATCAAAAAAGCTGAACTAATTTGAACCTTTTTCTGCTTACACCCAACTCACTCGCTAATGCTGATTCCTGGACCTTAAACATTATATGTTAGCTCTCTACAGTATACAGTTATCTCTTTGGAGCAAACACCTCTTAGAAGGCTGTTTTTTAAAAATAAAAATCTTACATAAAAATATAAAAGGACAATCTTTCTGTCTGGGTGTGAGGGATGCAGTCTCTCTTCTCTGGGGTGATGTGCATGGGTGAAACAGGTGGATATCTAGGAGCATGAAGCCCAGCAATGGGTGATGCTGCCAGGCCAGGAATCCCTGGGGACCTAGACTGAGTGGGTATGTTCTGCTGTCCAATCTGCCTTCCTGGCCTGGCCCTCAGCTAATCTCCCTGAAATACGCAGATACTTCTTGGTAGAAAATGGTTGAAAAATAAATGTTACATCCATTTAGAACACAGAATGTGGAGTGATAAAGCTAGAAACAATGTTGAATTTTTTATTTTATTTTTATTTTTTAGGTAAGGAAAACAAAGCGGTAAAATGACCTACTAAGATCTGAAAACCAGCTTATGGCCACATGGGGCCTAGAGCACAGACTTGTGGTTCGTATTCTCACTGTACCAGGCTGCCAGTTCCTTTGACTTCTAGAGAAAACAGCAACACAGACCAGGGGTAGCTGTTCAGTATCTTTCTCTCTGCCAGTGGACATGATTTGTCTGGACCCCCTGGGCCATGTCCAAATATGGTTGATCCTAAATTGACCAGTTAGGTAATGAGGTTTTTGTTTGCTTGGCCCATTCACCTGCCGAACTTAGATTGAACCAACCTTTCATGGGTAAAAGCTTTGCTTTTACTTCTAAATTAATCCCATACAAATCCACCTATTGGAGGAGCTTGAAAATTCTCTTCCTTTTCAATCACTTTGACCATTTGAAGGAAAACCACTGTAACTATCATAAGTGGTTGTGATTACTGGCTTTACTCTTCCTAATTCATGCTGGTAACTGGCAATAGGAAGACCATAATTAATTCCTCCTCTTATCAACAGATGGTCTTGCAACCACAGCAACTGCCCTATTCATAGAGGATGCTTGCTAATGTCTTTCTCAGAGGCTAGGGAGAAGGAGTAGGAATGTACTCTAGAATATGAGGAGAAGAGAAAAAGCAAATCATCCTAATTGAGCAAATGTTGAACATGTCAGAAAATATAGCCCGCAGTTTCACAGCCTCTGGACAAAGGCATGATTTACAGTTTGGGAGTAGATAGGGGAGGGGGCCAGGGTAGGTTGTGCAGAGCACAGTTGAGGGGAGGAGAAGCTCTCTGGAGGGCTGAAGGAGCCCTGCTCAGTGTACGGACTGGTGAAGCAGGCCCGGGGTGGGGTAGGGGTGGGGGCTGCGGTGGTGAGCAAACTCACGCCATTCTAAAGGGCTACTGTGCCTACCTCCAGGCACCATTATCACCTCCGCGGTGCTAGTATGGCCAGGGCATTTTCAAGAGAAATCAGAAAGCCAAATTTTATGTGAAATCTCCTCATTTTAAATGTCATCAACTAATTCATATTTTTAAAGTCTACCTTTGACAATTTCTTTTATTAGGTAGATCAGTTATTACAAGTCATGTGACTCTGACTTCTTTGTTTTCCAGCTTCTTTGTGTTAAGCAGATCTTTGTTTTATCAGATCTGCTTAACACAAGTGCATGTGTGTTTGGATGTGTTCCCTGTGACCCATAAATGTCACATAAACAAAAAGCACGGGCTGAAGGCATCTCATGCAATTTCTGTAATCTTCTCCTGGAAATGTGATGAAGTACCCCTTATGAAGGAGATACTGTACAGGGAATTTGCATCTTTGCTTTTCCTCTGAGCTCCAGATTTCTGCTACCAGTTGTCTATCTGACATTTCCTCTGGATGCCTTAAAAATAATCCCAAATTCAACATGACCCAAATAGGTCTTTTCATTCCCATCAATACCTCCTCCCAACCTACCTTCCAAAAAAATCAAAAGTCCATAGCCTGCCTCTATCTTCCTAATCTTGGCAGATGGCACCAACATTCATCAGATCAGTCACAACAAATGTATTTTAGAGTTATCCTTCCGTGGTGGCTCATGCCTGTAATCCCAGCATTTTGGGAGGCTGAGGCGGGAGAATTGCCTCAGGTCAGGAGTTCGAGACCAGCCTGGCCAACATGGTGAAACTCTGTCTCTACTAAAAATACAAAAATCAGCCAGGCATGGTGGCGGGCGCCTGTAATCGTGGCTCCTCGGGAGGCTGAGGCAGGAAAATCGCTTGAACCTCTGAGGCGGAGGTTGCAGTGAGCCAAGACCGCACCATTGCACTCCAGCCTGGGCGACAAGAGCAAAACTCTGTCTCAAAAAAAAAAAAAAAAAGAAAAAAGGAAAAGACTTATCCTTCATATCATTGTTTTACCTACGATTCACATTGTTTTGAAATACGGTATGGCCAAACAAAATGTCTGTAGGATGGAATCTGTGTGCCAATGGCATTCTACTACTGCCTTCGGTCTTCAAAGATATTAGTGATATGGAACATGGGAAGTTTTTAAATAACAAAGAGTACTAATTTTATATGTATAGATGGAGGAGGAAGTCACAGGCAAATGTGTTGGTGATGGGAGTGGGAAGAGGTCCTAGATCCACCCTCTCTCTCCCACGTAAATCATCCTAAACTGGCAATGTTGAGTTCACTATCGGAGTCCTTGACATTTTCCCTACTTATTTCCTAGACTCTGATTTTCCTTTTTCACTTTTCATGTAATCATTGCAATATGAAAGGCCTAAAATGCAAATATCGGGGTGAGGTAACACATCAGGCAATTAATCCATACGTGTAAATGCTTCATATCAGAGTGTTCTAGTATTTACAGAGTAAAAAGGTTGGACAGCACAAGAAAACTGAACATTTGAAGAGGGGGACTGGGTGGAAAATAGAGTTTGGGGACGTGAAAGTAACACACTTGTCACAGCTTTGCCAATCACAAGCCTGTGGACGTGTGAAAGGAAAGCTGTGAAGGATGCATTTCTGTCTTCCACAGTTGTGAACATTCTCGTACTCATTCAATAACCACTCTTCATTCATCCCCTCCACGGTTATGAATGGGGCAACTACTGTGCTGGCTACTCCTAACACGAGGATGAACTATGAAGGCTGTGACTTCCAGGACCAGAATAGACAGTGAACAGACAGTGGTAAGAGGAGCTGAAGGGTGCCCTGGTGGAGGGTGCTGATGGAGACGCAGAGCCTTTGAAGAGCATGGGGCATAGCACATTCCTTTTGTGCTTTTCTTTTAACTTGGATTATTCTGTTAGAAAGAAGGCTTGACCTCACCAGTAGTAAATTTAGATGAAGGCAAAACTAAAGCTACTTCCTCTTTACGTGCTTCTGTTCCCAGGCTAATGGGAAGCCTTCTATTGGTTGTGTCCAGCCAACAAGACAACTACCTGTGGCATGTCTACAAATACATCATTTTCATCTACACCTTCAGCTAGGCATTACATGGATATTTTGGAATGTATAGGAAATTACAGTCTTTTCTAAAAAGAAAAGACATTATCAATTTCAGACTGCCATTATTAAAAAAATAGAAATCATCAAGGCAAGTTGGAAATTGTTCTTTCAAACATGATATCTGGGGTGCTAGGTCTTGTTCTTACCTCATGAGCATTTCAGCTAAACTCTTTGCATCTGGGGAAAGAAAGCTAACATTAGTACATGGTAAATAACTCATTAACATTCACTTAGGCATTTATGACAAATACTCTACAGTCAGATCAGAACAGTCATTTTGAAACACAATCATATACCCAGCTCACTACTAATGACCTAGAGTTTCATGGAGTCCTTATTTCTTCTAAATGGGACTTTTAAAATGTATTTTATTAATTACAAAAATATCAACATAACTATCCTATGATTATAACATTCTCAGACATCTACTAAATGTTTTATTCCAACCTACAGTCACTTCTAGGAAATCCAATTTTATTTTCAGTAGTCAGAAAATTAACATTTTGAGGGTATATCATTTACGTTGAACAAACCCATGCTTTTTGTTATCAAAATATCAGAAGTAAGTGGCATTATTACAGAGCTCTGAGTTCCTTGGGTTGACCAAAGAATCGTATAAATGAAATATAAATGTTCCTGGAAACTTAGATGTTTATTTTGAATTCAGAAATTAAAAAAACTTTATTTTTTTTTTCTCTGAGCACATTGTTTACCAAGACCGGGTTACCACTCTTGACAGAAGGAATCCTGACTAAAAGTGTAGGAAAAAAAAAATCCCTTTTTTTGGTGGTGTTATTTTGAAATTCCCGTTTCCTTTAAAGTATAATTTATTCTTTTTACACATTTGGTCCTGGCAAAAATGAATGTTTCCTTACTTAGAGCACAAAAACCTTCTTTTTGTTTTTATTTCATTGCTCTCTAAAAAGTCTTGATGCTAAGTATACTGTTCAATGAACAGAACTTTCCGGAAATGGACTCAGCTGACAGTGTGACCAGCTCTGCAGTGAAAGTATACGTATGTGGGAGCATTTCCATCTCATGCCTTTGGGGGCTGACAATTAAACGTAGTCAGTTTCTGCACAGTGGGCAGCATGCTATTTCTGAAAGACGTGGACAGTCACAGAATGACCACGTAGAGGCTGTCCTTGCCATGAGCCAAGCTTAGTTCGTTAAGTCGGCCAGTCCCAATGGTAACCCCAAGATGGGGCCTGGTTTTGTGCACAGATGCGTTCAGCCTGGGAAATGAAACAGGGCCCATATACTCCACCCACACAGCAAAGAAAAGAAATCAAAATAGGATTGGATTTCCCAGTTCATGTCTTTATATTTATCTGCAAAGACACAGTAAATATAATGAATTTCCTCTTTCCCTGAATGATTTAACACTTACAAAGTATATATATATATATGTGCTTATATATACTTCATGTATGTATATATATATACATACACACACACATATATATACACATACATATAATGCCAGAAGCCTGGACTTAATTAGCTCCAATGAACTACCAAGCAGTGGCTGGTACAATACTCTAAAAAGGGGGAAACAAATTCAAGGAGTAAACATCCCACTTCAGTTCACACTTGAAAGAGTTCTCAGCCTCAATTGTCTTCTGATCAACTGCTTTCCTCATTCTGCCCGCCACAATAATCTCTCCTTTTCCTATTCTCGGTCAGTCATCACAGCTCTCTCCTATGAGCTGTTCATGGCAATGTACTAAGGAATTGCGGAGTCCAGCAGGGAGAAAAGAGCTCCCCACAATGACTGCCATGCCGACAGCAGACCTCTCTTGGCTGCCACGTGCAGGCATCCTCCCCAAGGCTAAGGTCTTTCACAGGTCTAGATGCCAAGGGTTGACCGTTTGGGTCAACCCTTCCCTAAACCTAACACTGACCCCACCTTAAAGGAGCATGGGACGTGGGGAGCTTTGCCATGAACGGGCAGTGTGCTCCATGCAGAGAATTCACATGCATCGGAATTACGAGCCCATTTGAGAAGTAAAGTCTAGGTCAATTTGACTGGACAGAGAAGTTGCCAGGATGGTGGTCTGGTGCACAGTCTAGACATTAAAGAGCTAAGGAGATGTGACTTTGTATTACTGACCTGAAAGCTTCTACCTGGGCCAAAGGGAGAGAGGAAAAAGGAGGGCAGAGGTGGGTGGTGGATGGGTGTGGGTGCTGTGAACTAGCATCCACCAGGCAATCCAGAATGCTCTGAATGTGGAGGTGGGGGCCTGGGACTTGTTGAAAGCTTCTTAGTCCTTAGTCCAAGTGAGAGGCTCTGGGCATTAGAGAAGAGAGCCAGGGTTATGTGGGTAACATTATAATGTGAAGATAGAGGAAATCTGTACGAATCAGAGTCCTACCAGGTGTACAGTGGGACAAGGAGGAGTTGCAGGGAGTCCAGGAAAAGGGCAAAATTTGGGATATGCAGAGCTGGATGTAGTAACATGAGTGACAGGAATGGACTAGAACAACATGGAAGCAGCAATCTTGGGAGAGACTTGTCTAGTTTCAATATCGGGGGACATTAGGTGAGGCTGTTCAGAGGCAAATTTGGAATCAAATTTGGAAAGATGCCAGGGCTGAGATGAGGGTCTGGGTGTTTTTCATATCCCCATAGAGAGAGTGCAAAAAGAAGATGGCAAAATCTCATCTGGGACACACTTTTGTTGAGGGTGAGAAGAGAGTCTGAGACAAGCCAAGAAAAAAATTTAAAGTCCCGGAATCACAGAATCTTAAGAGCAATAAAGACTTTTCAGATTGGCCACCTAATGAATGTTGGAATCCCTTTCACAATGTCTTACACAGACGTACACATATTCTCTGTCTGCATGAATCCAGAGCTGGGGCCACTGCCACTCCACGGTTGGGGTCGGTGCTCCTGCTGCACACCTAGTGTCCTTCCTCTCCTCCCAGTACTCTCCTGCCTTCCAGGTCTGCAGGTCTCTCCCAGCCAGCATGTCCCCAGGGGAACCTTTGTTTTTTCTCTTCTCAGTCCTAATCTCACTTATTAGTCAGCATCCTTACTGCTGGTGTGCCCAACACTGATACCCACACTGCAGGAAGGGTGAAGACTGGAATCCATCTTACTGAGTGATACCTGTGCTTTGAAACCTTCAAAGGGACCTCACTGCAACAGCCCTCATTAGCACAGAGAACCCACCTTCCGTGCTGGTCCAAGCTGTCATCCGGCTCCGCTGCCGCTCACTTGTAACCTCCAACCTCTCTCTGAGTTTCCTGCACTTGCCACTTTCTGCAGAGAGCCCAAGACTTTGCTAGTGCAAAGCCCTCCATCGTCCCCACCGCCCCATGCAGACGCAACTTGCTCCGTGTACCCTCCCATGCCCAGTAGGCAGGGGTGAAGCTTCGGTTCCCTCCGCTTCCCTGGACCTCTGCCTTATATCTCAGACAGCCCTTCCCAGCTCATACTGTGCCCACCTGTTTTCGGGTTGTCTTTCTCTTGGCCCTTTTGGGCACAGTCCTGTCCCTGATCCATAGTGAAGCTGCACAAAGATTTCCTGAGGACACATTTAATTGTGAGAGACATCTTCCTTTTCTTGTGCAGAAATTCCTTGATGTAATTTTAACCTGAAGTCATTTGCCAGCTGTTCAGATATTTCCATGTAGCTGCATTTCCCTTGCTTGGCCTCAGCTTTCTCTTTTCTGGGTTACATTCTCTAATTTTCTCAGCCACTCCTCATACGGAATGATTTCTAGGTAATTCCCTACTTGGGAATCTCTTCTTTGAAAGGTTTGTGATTTTTTTATTTCTCTATAAAATGAGGCTGAGAAAGACGCTGGTAATTCTTGATCTTCTAGCACACTAGGGAGAGCACAATGCTCATTATACGTGTTGCAAATGAATTTTTTTTTACCACTTCTATAGAAGACTTCACAATTATTCCTATTAAACTGTATCTTCTTGCTTCCAGCCTTTCAAAATCTCTTAAAATGTGGATTTGTCCCTCTAATACATTAGCTTCCCCACCAGGATGTATGTGGCCTCCAAGATTGGATTAGCCTGCCCATGCTTTCAGCTACATCCTGGTGTACCCTTATTAATCAGCCCTGTCAAAATGCAAATGGAGTTTGTCTGGGCCCCTGGTGGTCCCTTCCCTTCCCTGATTGCTCACAAAACATCCTTTCTATAACCTCAACTAACTTATTTCAGTCTATAATGTCCAGAATTAATCTATTGTTGTTGAAAATGGGTCCAGGGTCTAGATGCTCTTTGACTTACGATTACCTCCTGATGAACCCATCATCAATTGAAAATATAATTAAGTCAAAAATGCATTTAATATGCCTGACCTACCAAACATCAGGGCTTAGCCTAGCCTATCTTCAACGTGCTCAGAACATTTACCCTACCCTACAGTTGGGCAAAACTATCTAACACAGAGCTTATTTTATAATAAGGTGTTGAGTATCTCATGTAAAAATAATGGATCACATATCACTAACCCAGACAAAGATCAAAATTCAAAATACAGTTTCTACTGAATGCATATCATTTTTGCACCATTGCAAAGTCAAAAACTCCTAAGTTGAACCATAGTAAGTCAGGGACCATCTGCATAATCATTTTCTAACACCTCTAATTTACATTTGATTGTTCAAAGGTTATCCAGAAAGATCTTGGGGTTATGTCTGGAAAAATTTTGTTCAGAACCCTAAAATGTTATCCTTCAGAATCATGGGACTGGAACCCCATGACAGCTTCCCTAATTTTTTAAGTGGTGGAGATCTTTCCTTTCAGTGAAACAGCACAGCATTTATTCTGTCTGCATTAGGCTGCTTACGCTTTGGAACTTGTGTAATAGTTCTTTGTAAACATTGTCTGCAAAAAGCAACATCTCCACCTCCACATAATGGCTAATACAGAGTATGTTTTGAAAAAAAATAAATCCTTTTAAACTATCAGGGTGCTGATTATTTTCATAAGCATCCTGAGTTTCTCCCTTCCCCTCCCCTCCCCTCCCCTCATTCCCTCCCTCCCCTCATTCCCTCCCTCCCTCCCTTCCTTCCTTCCTTCTTTTTATAATTCCTGGTCCACGTTTTCTGATTCAAATAGCATTTCTCCTGGTACACATCAAGCAAAGCAGATGCTGAGCAGCTCTCCTGTCTACCTGCCATCTGTTAATATGAGAACATTGTTCACAGCCTTGTTCTTCTTGCCCAAACACAGCTAAACAGCCCTTGCATTGCCTGTCACATTTTTTCCCACACATTTCAGATCAGCCTGAGATTCAGACTTCGCGACATCTTTTCTAAAGCCGCTTGCTACTCCCACACTTCCATCCTTGGCTCTGGGCTCCTCCCTTATCTGTTGGGCTGGGAAATGATGGAGAAATGATACCAGGATAATCTAGTGATATTAAAATGTGGAAGGAAGGAATTTCAAAAGACAACATTTGCTAACACTCTGAATGCTGCAAAGAGGGCTAAAAAATGATGGCTGAAAGGATAATTTGGAGATCAGAGAATAACTGGTCATCTGTCTTCAGGAGAACAGTTACATTTGGGTGGCGAGTGGAAGGGGACTGTGGGAATTTGGGAGTAATTGAGAGGTAGTGTAGCTGAGGACAGAATACTCTCAAGTATTCAGTGGAGAAAAGAATCAGAGAGACAGTAGGATGAAGATATGCAAGCTAGAAGGAATATGTATATGTGCCTCTCTCTGTATATAATATATACATATTTAAAATATAATTAGGGGAAGGCTGAAGGGTAGTGAATATCGAAATACAAAATCAATAGACCAAGTATTTTTGATGGGCAAACATAAAATTATATAGTAGCTATTGATACTGTGTTAATACATCTTCTAATTCCAGGTATAATTGATAAACCTTTAGAGCTTACTTAATATTGATGAGACAACCTGTTTCTTACTTGAATATTCAAAATCCTGCAGAAGTTTCATGGCAAGAGGAGTAGGGTAGGGAGATTGATCTGAACTCTCTTCTAGCTCTGCCTGGACTCATATGTGATTCTGGATAATTCTATAGCTGGCCTTCAGTTTTCACGTCAGAAAATGGGGTATGATGGCTGGACGCAGTGGCTCATGCCTATAATCCCAGCACTTTGGGAGGCTGAGGCAGGCGGATCACCTGAGGTTGTGAGTTCGAGACCAGCCTGACCAACTTGGAGAAACCCCGTCTCTACTAAAAATACAAAATTAGCCGGGCATGGTGGTGCATGCCCACAATCCCAGCTACTTGGGAGGCTGAGGCAGGAGAGTCGCTTGAACCCAGGAGGTGGAGGTTGTGGTGAGCTGAGATCATACCATTGCACTCCAGCCTGGGCAAAAAGAGCAAAACTCTGTCTCAGAAAAAAAAAAAAAAGAAAAAGAAAAGAAAGAAAATTGGGGCATCATAATGGGCAGTTCATACTCAACCATTTTGCATGGCTATTGAGAGACTAAGGCAGGATGGTGTATAGTGAAGTACTATGGAGAAGAAAGAGGAGCGAAACAATGGGAAGCATTAGTAGCCTGTGGATTAGTACATGGTTAGATCGAGTTTTGGGAAATGGCACCTCTGGTTGGATGAGGAGGCTCCCAGCTTGGTCTTGCCCAGTTCCTGTGTTCTGTTTATAGACCACAGCTTGCATCCTGGGGTTGTGCCTGGCATGAAGGTGCACATCAGCAAGGCAGAGCATGACACAGCATGGCGTGGGAGAGTGCCCACCATGGCCCCAGGCACTGCAGCTGTGCAAAGCTTGAGAGGCTGAACTGCCTCACATTTTGCACACTCAAATGCTTCTTTAAAAAAGAGAAATCTTGTTTATAGCCACATGGCTACATTTTCATATCTGAAGTTCTAGTTACGTAAAATGGAAGACGCTTAGGTTAATACTTCTACTGGGCAGTCACTTGCAGATATCCACAAAAAAACTTTCTGAGGGTGGCAGATTTTGACCTTATATTACCATCCATCAAAAGGTTTTATTTGCAGCCTCTCCCTCAACAGTCCCTGCCTTTCTGTGGAATTGAAATAGTCTCATAAAGTAGCTATTTTTGCAAGGGCTATAAACCTGCATTTATGTTTTTATAAGATCCCAAATAGGACTTCCAATCATCACAATGCTCAGATGAAAGCTAATTTGAAAACTGTGGCAGACATATATTAAAAAAAGAAGGCCATATATACTGGTAATCTGAAAAAACTGCATGCACAGACACAGACAAAATAGGACACCCAGGCAAGGCAGAGCTCCAGGGCCCGGCTGAGACCCACAATCCCCTCCTGACTACCCACTCCCTGGCTCCCCTCCACTGGTAGCCCTCGACTCCCCCTCACCCCCATGCTCTTTTGCTTCCCGCTGTCAGATGCAGAGAGCCTTTTCTATTCAGTTTGCCATAACAAGTTTGATGTTTTAAGAGAATAATTTCATTAAGAAACCAAGACAGAAAGAAAGAGAGAGGAAGAGAAAGAGAGAGGGAGAGAGAGAAAAAAGGAGAGAGAAGGGGAAAGGAAGGAAGGAAGGTAGGGAAGGAGGGAGGGAGGGAGGGAGTGAAGGAGGGAGGGAGGGAGGGAAGGAGAGAGAAGGAAGGAAGGATAGAAGGAAAGAAGGAAGGTAGGGAAGGAGGGAGGGAGGGAAGGAGGGAGGGAAGGAGAGAAAAGCAAGGAAGGAAGGAAAAGAAAAGAAAAGAAAAGAAAAAGAAAGAGAAAGAAAGACAAAGAGAAAGAAAGAAAGAAAACACAAAGCACAGAACTAAAGAGTTTCAGAGTACAGGCTTCTAATGCCATCTTAGCCACACTTGGTAACGAAAGCTCTAGGGTGCATGTGTGCTACTCATGCATTAACAATGTGGGCTTCCCACATTCAGGGTGGCTTTATGCATTAGTGCTGGGGCATCTATTGAAACTTTGAGTCTATCTCAAGTCTGAGTGTCACTGGGTTCCTGGATGCACATTCCTGCTTTAGGTTAGTAAAGTTCAAGTTACCTTTTGGTTTTCCAAATGAGGGGAGCTTTGGGCTCATTTGCAGAGCAGATAAATGTCCTGTTAGTACTCAGAAAATAACAATGATTTCTCATAACCTACCCCTTAATCTGCCTGCATAGCACCATGAACCCAGATCCTCTCTGGGAACAGTCTCTTCCGGAATTGATCAGTTTTGTAACAATCCATTTCAAAGCATGTTTAAAATAATAAACACATTTCCATTCAAGAGAAGCAAGACACTCTGCCACAAAAGCATGGTCAAATGTGACATCACTCACTGATTTTTATCTTTAGCTTATTTGAAGTCCTGCAGGTTGACCCACACTAACTGGTGCCAACAGAAGCTTGTGCCTTCTTGCGTAAATGCGTACCAAAGGAGGAGGCTTTTAGAAATATTGGAGTTGATTACTTGACACGGGATCACATTTTATAAGGTTAGGGCTGCTGGGATCTCAGGCCCAACCAGTGACTCACTCTATAACCTTGCACTTCAAAGGATCTAGAAGTTCAAGAAAAACCAGGGCATCATTAAAAGCAAAATGCGGCTCCTGAACTCCTGGATAAGGTTATAGATTTAAAAAAAAATGTGGGCACTTGCAGGCAATTTAGAGTTTAGGAGGTCGCCATGCTCTAAAATTAGTAAAGTACTCAGGAAGAGAGAATATAGGTTGACGACACTGCTAGAGTCCCATTTTCTTTCTTTCTTTCTAAAATTTTACATAAAATAACATTATATTATATTCATCTAACTAGGTTACTTGTCTATACAGTAAAACATACTCAGCTTATAAACATTTTTGCTGTTTCTAGCAATTGAAAAATGTGATCAATTTCAACCATATAAAATTGATCCCACCTAATCACTCTAAAAACATCCACTGGGGATCCCTATAATATTTTTCTATAATTCAAATCTCCTTATTTCCATTTTTGATCCTGATAGATGGTTGCTCACGCAACACTGACATGTTACTAGAAATGTTGTCCTTAATTTTGACAATCAAAATATTCTGTCTGTAGAGTCTGTAAATATATTTGAACTTATTCTCCCAGAGGCACAGAGTCTGTACCTTATGTGGGTTCGCTTGTTATTGGGTGATTCGACTAATGCACTCCGGATATTTAATAGACAGGCACCTATTCCTTTAAACTCTGCAGCTGCAATTTCCCTCCATGAGTGAGTTGAAAATACTTTGTATCATTAATGAACATTTCAGGGCCCTGCAGGGCTAAGAAACAAACGTCTTTCTGGGGCAATGCCTGACCTTTCATCGATTCCCCTTTACCACCCTCACCTCTGGCGCTGTCCTTTTATGGCAGTGCTTTGCACAGTTACGGAGATGAGTCTGCCCCTTGCAAGCCTTGACCCACTGCCACTACAATGTCACCTTTATAGTTCTGAGTCTTAGAAATCTCTTCTCTCTCTAGGACCTGGCTAAACTCTTGTGATCAAATAGAAATGGTCAACCAGCAAATGTTACCACTAGTTTAAAAAAAGGTTCCATCTTGCACCTGGTAGATAATCTACAGTGGTTTGTCAAACTGAATTTATTGCAGTGTGTCTACATTAAAACTTGCCATTCAGAAGTGGTGTGAAATTGGGTACCCAATCCTTGGCATCCTGACCGCCCTCCTGTCAGATTCTTTTTTTTTTTTTTGAGACAGAGTCTCGCTCTGTCACCCAGGCTGGAGTGCAATGGCGCGATCTCGGCTCACTGCAAGCTCCGCCTCCCAGGTTCAAGCGATTCTCCTGCCTCAGCCTCCCAAGTAGTTGGGACTACAGGCGCCCGCCACCACCCCCGGCTAATTTTTTTTGTATTTTTAGTAGAGACGGGGTTTCACTGTGTTAGCCAGGATGGTCTCGATCTCCTGACCTCGTGATCCGCCCACCTTGGCCTCCCAAAGTGCTAGGATTACAGGTGTGAGCCACCGCACCCGGCCTCTCCTGTCAGATTCTTGATTTGAGAGAACCCTTTATTAGCCATGTACAAAATGCCGAACTGCAGATACCTTTGTGCCATGGCAAGCTACTTTTCTGAAATCCTTTGCTCCTTAACATCTCTTAGTAATACTCCCTCTTTCCCTCAGCACTTACTTTCTTCCTACTGAAACCTTTGTGTTGGATTTACCTTTTCCCCAGAACATAGAAATCAAAACTATTTCCGGAGAATGAAAGGCCATGTTCTCTGAGGTGATAGACTGCTGTCTTTACCAAAACCAACTGCAAAACACTAGTGTCTGGAAGCAGGGAGGCCAACAATAAAAATGCCAGCCCCAGGATGTTTTCTGGAGATAGCCCTTGTACAGCAACAATTAAATTACAAGGAACTACTAAGAATACAAATACAGGGTGCATGGGTCATCATTTCAACCCAAAGGCCTCACTCAGTAAGAGCCCACAGCACCTTTAACTGGAGGTGCTCTCAGCGAGAGGAAATGCACAGCTGGGGTGCTCAAGTTCGAAGGTGAGTAGGAAAAATAAAATAGTAGCTGAGAAGGATGGAGAGCAATAGGAGTCAGGGAAAAGAAGAAAAAGTGAATTTGGCGAGGGTGTAGACCGATGAGAAGCATTACCTAGATGCTTAACTCTTGTGATTAAATCAAAATCATTAATAAGAAATATTTACTATTGGTTTTTAGAAACATCATACAGACAATGTGCAGCCTTCTAAATGCAAGTAGTTAGACATAGTTGTCTAATGGTAACAAGGAAAGACACCCTTGGTATCTCATAATAATTCTCCTAAAGTCCAGGCCACTGTGAACAAGGGTTATGAAAACATCCTTTTTGTGTTTTAGTGATGAACTGAATGGAATTCAACATGGTCCACATTATATGGAACTTCTCACCATAATGGGCTGTATTATACGCTTGTAGTTCTGTTTTACTTAGCACTGAAGTAGCCTCCCTTTTCCTCTCCACTTGGGATTAATCCGTCCTTCTTTTTCACTGATGCGGTCTTTCTTTGAAGCCCTATTTCTGTATTCATGACATGTTTTGTCTTTCACTGGTAGCTGCTTATGGGCCTACCTCCTACCTTAAACCTAGAGTTCAGAAAGCTCTTTCTTCTCATCTTTGTGTATTAAGCACCTAGCATTCACTCAAGTAATGTCTGCAAAATTAAAAGATAATTGGTTCGCACGATTGCGAAAGAACATTTCAAGGAGACTGATGGCTGACCTGAATTATTGGGCTGCAGGAGATTTACATGGACAGATTCTTAATTGTACAGATGAAGTACAATGTACTTCAGAATTGTAATTTGTTGGCAGAGCAAAAGCAAGTTGATAGTGAAATGTACCAGAATTCCATAAAAAGCAGTGCTTTGGTGCTTTGGATAAGTGAAGACAGGTGAAAATATTACCATGTTCTCTGCTCTAAGTGGATTATGGTCAAATTAAGTATTTACAGAAGAGGTCAACGTTTTCTAAATGTATCAGTAAAGTTTGGGATATGTTTTGAGGAGAGAGTGCTTCCAGATTTGTACTTTGAACATAACTTTGAAACACACATAGGATGCTGCATAGCAGTATCCCACACTGCACTGATATTAAAATGAAAATCCCTTGTAATACACGTTACCGAAAAAGTGGCTTAGTTAAACACCCTCACTGGTAAAGGGCAAAGGACCTGGGAACACGTCTGCACAGTTTCATATTTGAAATAACTCCCTGTCCTCACATTGCAGAGCAAGGGCAAGTAAGGGCTCTTGGCCAGAAGCTGAGAACAGCCTCATCACAGAACGACACGGGGCTGGACATTATAATCATGGTGTCTGTTCACAATGGAGCTCATCTGGCCTGGCTTCTCCAGCCTTCATTATGTTTTTGCTACATTAGAGTGAAACTCTTACACTGGGCTTCAGCTCCCGTTTCTAATTTGGGATGGCATGTGTCCTCTGCCTCACAATGCTTCACCAGTATCCTAAGCCCTCAATTTCCACTTCCAGTCAGTCAAGTAATTCTCATTCCCAGAGCAAATCTGATAGATCTTTTCATAGAAAGCCACAATTGGTGGCTTTGCTGGACCCACTGAAAATTTAAGAGACTAGAGTTAAAAAATTAATTTTCCTTGCATACCAACAGCTAGGATTTAGGGGACAGGTTGGCTTTCACCTGATTTCTGACCGAGATAGGAACATTCTTATTGCTCTTCCCTGAGGCTCTGCAGTCTCGCTGAAGGAATGTCAGAGAACCAGGCAGTGGAGGGACCTGGGTTAAAGAGGGAAGAGTCACTCCCTTTTGAGGTTTGTTCTCCAGCTGGCATCTCTCCCATTGGCTGCAGAGCAGCAGGGGACACGCGTAGGTGGACAGCTGGGCCTGGACCTACCTCGCAGCCTCTTTAGCCTCTGCTCCCGCCGCCTCCTCCGCACAACCAGCAGGAGCACAAACAGCAGCAAGACCCCCACCAGGATACAGGAGATGGTCACCAGCATCTTGAGCCCCTCGTTGGTCGTCAGCCCTTCTTCGTTTTGGACAACTGACTTAATGAGTGGAGGAATTGTACCTGAAAGCAGGGCCACGGTGTTAGATGGCTATTAATGAAGACGGCATGGCGGAGCTTTTAGGGATGACAGGTTATAAAAATCGCGCTGTGTGATCCAAGGGTGTTGGAGGTGATGAGAAATGAAAAGAACTCTGTCTCTAGGCCCTGGCTAACTTTTTTTCTTATTTATTTCCCTCCCTCTGCCTGAACTTCCAACTTATTCTATAGTGCACGTTTGAAAAGGACTTCATTTTGCAATGCACTACAGTGTGCAGGCACTTGAAAGCATGAGGCCCAGGCTTGGTGCTGACAAAAGCCACATGCATCTACCCAGAATTAAGTGTTCCCTTGACTGTCACCCACAGTACAATTGATAGAGACTATTCGAAAAAATTGCACATCAAAGAATGAACAAAAGGTTGGGCAAATGGACAGAAGCGCGTGTGCAGGGAGAGGGTCCTAGATACACTGGCATAAAGAAACTCAAATCCCTTGTGATTAGGTAATTTGCTGGCTTTTATCGCAGGTGTAAGACCAAATCTACTTCAACAGCTGTGGTTTGAGGGTACAAGAGCTACAGACAGCTTTTCAAAGGGGACCCAACTAGGTTTCTAAAGGAGCCTACTTTTGATCAGGCATGGTTAAATAGTGCTACAAAATCTAGATTATTTCGAGTAATAAGGAAACACTGAAGGAAGATGAACTCTGAGCTATCTTAAGCTGCCTTCTATCCAGATGCTCAGTACCGTGGGTGCAGAGATCTAAACACAGGCATCCACTTTTTATGAGGTATATATTTTGCTACCCTCCATTATATAAGATGCTCCACGCCACTGCACTTTCCATGTACAACAAGGGCCAGAAAGTCAGCACTTCAGGAAAAGAGAATGCAAAAATAATATAATTTCTCCCTCAGCAAAACGGTCTTTATCCCGCATTTAGTAAGCAGAGCAGGGATAATGGAATCCTCGTTCCTCTGTGATCTCTGCTAAAGCTGAGAAGAGTGTTCTCCCAACTTTAAAGTGTTTTTGTGGAAGCCCAAGTCTCCAAATGCTTAGAAATTCAGGAAAGAGGCACTTACAGGATGCCCATGAAGAGGGGTCTGCAAAACCAAGACAACACTAGGTCAAGCAGAAACATTCGGCTAAGGAAATGGCAGAAGAAAGAGTGAGATCATTAAATGGAGGACTCTGAAACCTGAGTGGTATGAATGTAGGCTGCCAATCTTGGCTTTCTCAAGATAACAAAGTTCTTCAGGCAGATGTGACAATAGAGGCTATCCATTCATGAGACTGGTCCAAAGAAATCTGTAATCTCTCTCAAGGAAAATATAAATATGCAGCCATATTTCTTAGTGTAATAAAGTGATTTCATATTTCCAAAACGTAAAGGTAGCTTGCAGCATTTTTCAAAATTTGGGATCTTGGATAAAGTGAGAAAATTATATCTTTTCTTAGAAGACAAACATTTAAAATCCGCAGAACACTTTGTGAATTAGAATCACAGTTTCAAATTCTACACATGAGTAGTTTCTAATTAAATCATTAGCTGTGAGCATATCATCAGTGTGCACATTTAAGCTGGGTGCCCAGGCATCTGCACATATTATAGAGAAGCTGGGAACCAGAGTGTGAATATTGCAAGATAATGATCTAAAGTAAAAAAGATACTTACTACTCAAATGTGTGCTGGTTAACAGAGGATTTTGGTGCACCCTTAAATGCTAAGTAAAGTGTCTGGTAAGTGTCAAAGTTCTTTATTTTGTAAGATCAAATAATTCAACCATATTACAGGGAGAGGCCAGCTTGGAAGTGCTCCTCTGCCTCTGGGTGATGCTTTGTGATGGGGACACCTTTGAATGAAGTCACTGAAGAGTGAGGGCTATAAAATTAGAAAGAGGCAGCCCATGAAAAGCATCAGCCCTTGAAGAGAAAAGTTGTCGTCTGGGAGGGCATAGGCTATTCTGGGGCCATAGGACAGAGCCCGTGCAGAGGCCAGGGACCCCGGCTAGCGTAACCAACACTAGAAGAGCTTTCTACAAGCTCAAGGTCTTCCTACAGCCCTGAGACCCAGGCCAGAAGTGCCAGGAAGACCCTGGACTCTGGCAGAGAAGGATGTTGTGGAAAAATGACCTTGGACAGGAGATTTGGGGTAGGTCTGCTCTGTGTGCCAAAGCAAGAAGAGCCAGCCCTGGGCCATCCGGACATTATAGGAGAAATTGGTCAGATGAAAATCCCAGGCAATGTCACCTCATTAGCTCCTGGTGGTCATTTCTGTGGGTCCTTAGGTTCACAGCCACTCTTCTTAGGATGGCATAAACTGTGCTCCAAGGAGCTACCTGCTGGAGCTTTAATAAAGCGGCCTCCCAAATGCACAAAGTAAAGAAAGAATCACTCTCCTAGAGAGCAATGCTGATGCTTTTCATGGGCTGCCTCTGTCTAATTTTACAGCCCTCAGTTATGAGTGACTTCATTGAAAGGCATCCCCTCACAAAGCATCACCCACAGGTAGAGGAGCACTTCCAACGTGGTCTTGGCTTGGCTGTCAATAAAGGGTTTGGGTGTTTCTTGGTTAACTCATTCAACACTGTGGTCTAGCCTGACCAACAGGCAGTGAATAGAAGGCTCTGAGGAGAGTTGCACTGGAGTTCCAACTCATCCTGATGCATTGCTGCCGTTTTTACCTTGCAATTAGAGCACCTAACTCAATCCTTGCTGTTCCCCTAGTGAGAAATGAGCATCAGCCCGCTGCTGCTGGGACTTTCTAAAGTTCCCCTACTAAGTTGCAGTCGAGGACTCGCTCCTTTCAGCTTCACTGGGCTTAGCATTTGTTCAGTTAGCAATAAATGGCCCTTGATACCAGAAAAAATGAGTGAGATTTTAAACCATTTATTTTTGGTTAACTAATGTCAAGAGACACCTCACCTAGTTTTTGGAAAGTAAATGCAAGTGGCAAGTGTGTGTGAGTTTGTGTGTGTGCACGTGTTCATGGATTCCTATTATTATCCTATTTCCATCAGTGGCCCTGCTCCTGCCCAGAGACTAACATAAGCTCCTTTACCATGGAAAATTGTTTTTGCACATGCAGTTTAGGGTGTAATGAGTGCAAAAAAGAAAGTTGTTATGTGGATTGGGATGAGGTGGGGAAAGGGGTGGGAGACAACAAAAGCAATGTTAGCTCATAGACATCAACACAAGCACAGAACCACAGGGTCAAGAGTCCTTCAGCCCTAAGAGAAATCACTCCTGCCCCATGACTCCCCAGTGAGACTCCCTATGGCCCTGAGTCTCTTATTTCTGGACACACAGTGATGGTCATCTGGATATAACGAACTAGGGAGCCCCAGACAGAGTCCATTGAATCCCGAAAGCCTAATGGGCTCCGTGGGCACTGGTCAAACTATGGCAAAGATGATGTTCGATGGGAAAGGGGCAGGGCCCACGTGCACATCCCCCAAGACACAAGCAGGAGAGCCACAAAGCCAGCCAGCTTACTGCCATCGTAGTTCAGCGTAGCGAAGTTGGCCTGCTTCTCCGCGCAGCCCGCACTGTTGCACACCCGCATCTGCAGCTCATACCAGGTGGCTTCCTGCAGGTCATACAGGATGTAGGACTTGGAGAGAGAGGTCCTCTGAGCTGTGGTCCAAACTGTGGTCCCAAAGGGCCTGTACTCTAGTGTGAAGGAGGTGATGGGGCAGCCGCCATCATTCCAGCCAATGAGGTTCAGCCTCACGCGTGTGGTGTTGATGCTGGCAAACAGCTCCTGCTCCTTTGAGAACTGGGGCTCTGGGGGAGAAGGCACATGGAGGTCAGCTCACAGGACACATGGGGAGGCCATCAGCATCTTCACGCATTTCCCTCGGACTGCTTCCTCCAGCGAGGCCAGGAGCTCAGTCCAAGTCTGGCTCACAGGCCACTGGCAACTTGTCCCCTGTTAATAGAGACTTTATGGACCAACAGGCTTTCTCCAACTGTAATGACCTGGGTGTGTGACAGAAAATTGCATGGGTGGAGGTTATTTTGGGGTATCTTAGAGTTCCCTAAAGAACAATAGGATGTTCACATATGGGTTTCCTTCTGTGGTTTGCGGGGCAGTGTGCTGGGCACTTTTTCCATCCTCATGTGATGAACCTGATTCAAGAGAAAACAGAGTTGGATTTGGGAAGCACCAACAGATTTTCCTCCACAACTAAACACTTGGTCTTGGTGCCCAGGGACCTAAAGGATATATTTCTGCATAAATCAATCCCCGATCATTTGACCTCTTACCACTTGTTACCCAAAACTGTGGCACCAGGCACAAATAATACCCTTGCTATCTCATTACTCGCTCTCCTGCCATCTGACCCCACCCCACCTGGTAGGACTCCTATGGGAGGGAAGCCTGCAAAGACATCTCCTCACCTTCTTCCTATGCCCACATAGAGCTGCATCATCCCTCCTTCCTTCTGGAGTTCCTGGGACAAAACCTCTTTCTCTGAATATGATTTCTTTGGGATTCATCTCCTTGAAAGTCCACATTTTAGATTAAAAAAAAAACAAACGCAATTTACCCCATCATTTTCCCTCTGAAAAGCGGTGGCTATGTGGCAATGTGGAAATGATAGGAAGGTGGGAGCAAGGGTGGCTAAGGGAGAAGGGCGCCTCCAAACGGCTGAGAGGGCAAGCGCCACGCTTCATGGCTGCCCAGCCTTGGCACCTCACATTCACACCAACGCCCTTGATTTTCAAACTGACATTCTTCTTTTTAACTGCAAATGAAACAATAAAAGAGAGGACCAGAACACTCTGGAAGGTCCAGCTGTCCCTCTCATTATGCCGTGGCACTGCTGAAGCCATGTGAGGAATGACAAAGTTCAAACACATAAACGTAAAACATGATGGATCTTTTATGATTCCAATCTCCTCTTCTGGCCGGGAAAAGAAAGGATATTAAGAAGCGATGAGGGCCGGGCGCGGTGGCTCACGCCTGTAATCCCAGCACTTTGGGAGGCCGAGGCGGGCGGATCACGAGGTCAGGAGATCGAGACCATCCCGGCTAAAACGGTGAAACCCCGTCTCTACTAAAAATACAAAAAATTAGCCGGGCGTAGTGGCGGGCGCCTGTAGTCCCAGCTACTTGGGAGGCTGAGGCAGGAGAATGGCGTGAACCCGGGAGGCGGAGCTTGCAGTGAGCCGAGATCCCGCCACTGCACTCCAGCCTGGGCAACAGCGAGGCTCCGTCTCAAAAAAAAAAAAAAAAAAAAAAAAAAAAAAAAAAAAAAAAAAAAGAAGCGATGAGAAGGCATACCTACCTTTTCCTAAGGTCTTTGCTTCTATGATTTCACTTATGCGCCCTGGGCCCACTCCATTTTGGGCTGTCAGTGTGAACTTATACCAAGTCCCACATTTGAGATTTTCCAAGCGATAGGAACGTTCGCTGGGGCTGATTGGAAAACTCCCCCACTGCTCACTATTGTCCTCGGAGTACTGCAGTATGTATCCTGCAGAGAATGAGAAAGATTCACATGAGCACTGTGTTTGCTTTCTATGGGAAGTGGACTGATGCTTGCATTTTGTGTGGGTAATAGAACGAGCATTCTCAGAACTGAAGAATCTTCAGAAGGAACATTTTCGCTCTTTCTGATTCCAGGAAATGTAACCCAGCCTGGGAGAAGCACCATGATGTATTGATTAGTGAGTCATTTGGGCCACACCAGACATTATCACTGTGAAGTATTGCTGTTTTCTGCTCATTCTCTTCTAAAAGCCATATTGAGCAGCAGGGAATACTTAAGTTGCCAAATATCTGTCCCTCAGATCATACATGCCTGAATCCTTGAGTGAAGACATAGGCTGAAGCTGTTATTTTTGCAAGACACTCGAATCTCTGGGAAAGGGATACATTATCAATGGGAGTAGAGATTTCTTCAACTGCCTCACTCCTCATGTACTCCTGGTCTCACAGTTCACAGACACTAGGAGAAACAGCTCCAAGTCTTGCAGCCATCCCACTATTCTGACAGTAACCTGGCTTCTCTTTGGTTTGAAAAATTCCTCCAACAATTCATTCCCCCACATGAGCACTACCTCTACTTTTACAACTAGTAAGGATGACTGTCCACTCTAGAGCACTCACTCCATGCCAAGCCCTGTCCTAAGCCCTTTGCTTACAGTATTTCTGCAACCCTATGGAACAGTGACGACTCTCCCACAGAACACGTGGGACACTGAAGTCCAGAGCAGTTAAGCGGTGAGTCCCAAGTGCTGAAAGGAGGATGCAGACCCTGCAGTCAGCCTGAAGCCCATGTTCTTCACCCCTGTGAATGCTGAAATATTCTTCCTGTTAACTCCTTCAGCCCTGTTATCTGCAGCCATGTTCCTTCTCCACCCTGGCTAGCTGGCCTGGAACATGGTGTGTTTGCAACAACGGGTTGGTACCTTCTATTCCTGTCCTGTGGAGCTCCATTTTAATAAAAATAAAGCATTTTTTTCCCTGCACACTACAGTGTCTCCTAAACCCAAATGGGCAGGTTTGCTGATTTCCACACCCCTTACATGGCGATCACTCATCTCTGATGCCTCCTTCTGAGGTCATTGTCAGTATCTCCCCTACTCCTTTCAGCCTTCCCTCACCACTGGCCTTCTGTGGCCATAGGGTCCCTCCTCCTTCCTGAGCCTTTGTGTTCCTCATCTGACCTCCATAAAGCTCCTTCAGTACCTGACAGGTGATACCTGTGCACCTGCTCCCAGCCACATCCCAGCCTGTATTCCAGCCGCCCTACACATTGTAGGGACTCTGCTTTCCTCCCACTTTCCACCCTCGAAGCCACCTCAAAAAACTCCTCTAATCCTTGGTGATAGGCCTGTATAGTTCCCTGTCCCCTGCTATCATCCTCAGTGCCATCAGTGTCCATCAGTGTGGGCACACAACTTACGACACCTCCTGATGATGGCAATGGCTTTGGCCACTACTGTGTTTCAGGAATGCTGGGTTACCTTTGTCTTGGAAACTCTCCCTCACTAAAACTGGCTTCATCTGGAAGACCTTGTGCTCTGACACACCCTTCTTGTTCTACCTCTCCCATGCTCTCACACTTGTAGAATCCAAGCCTCATTTCATTTGAGCCTAAAACCTAGGGTCCCTCGAGCCCATCCCTAGGTGCCCCCTATTTTTTTCCTATAAGAAGGTTCTCTAGTCAGCCTGGAACCTTTGGTAGGCCATTTCAACAAGGAGCCTAGTTTCTCTCACTCTTCAGACTTCTGGCAATGCTTATGTTACTGGTAACCTGTGATCCACTTTTCTTCCCAGCTGTCCAGAATCATTTAGAAAAGTCATTAGGCCAGGTGTGGTGGCTCAGGACTGTAATCCCAGCACGTTGGGAAGCCAAGGCGGGTAGATCACTAAGTCAGGAGATTGAGACCATCCTGGCTAACATGGTGAAACCCCATCTCTACTAAAAGTACAAAAAATCAGTCGGACGTGGTGACACTTGCCTGTAGTCCCAGCTACGTGGGAGGCTGAGGCAGGAGAATCACTTGAACCCGGGAGGCAGAGGTTGCAGTGAGCCGAGATCGTGCCACTGCACTCCGGCCTGGGCAACAGAGTGAGACTCCGTCTCAACAAAACAAAACAAAAAAGAAAGTCATTAGACAGTGATAATTGTGACTCGTACAATTTGTGCTGTGCATCTGCAGCTGGGTCCTTGCAAGCTTCTTGGCAATGACTCGGTTCATCTATTAATGACTCTCTGTGCATTCCACAAGGCAGCTATTACAAACCTATCCCATGCTCCTCAAATCCACAGACACATCCTCACCACGATTTTAAAAAAATCACCTCACTTTTTCTTTCCTAAAAGAAAAAAAAAAAAAAAAGATCTTCCCTTCACCCATTGGAGTGCTGATAAATGTTTAACAACTGGTTCTTGGAGAGGAGAAAAAAGGCTCTGATTTGTAGCATTTCTGATTTCCATGGTGAGGGAATGTTCTTAGGGTGGCTGTGGCCACTGAGCATGAAGCTGGGAAGGGATGTGGCACCTCACTCTCGGAGCTGGAAGGAGCTGCTCCAGCACACTACTGATGTCACTCTGAAATGCTCCTGACTTCCTGTTTACTTCCCAGCCTTCTTTCTCTCTCAGAAGAAAGGATGTTCTCTGCCTTAGGAAGTCTAAGCCCCTATTCTCTCTCCCCGGCCCTGGGACCTCCTTTATGGTACAGGCCCTCTTTCCTGTGTATCTTCTGTCTCTAGCTTAACTCCACCCACACTAGAACGACCATGCTCACTCCTTCCATATAAACCTCATTTAGGCCGGGCGTGGTGGCTCACGCCTGTAATCCCAGTACTTTGAGAGGCCGAGGTGAGCGGATCACCTGAGGTCAGAAGTTCGAGACCAGCCTGGCCAACATGGCAAAACCCCGTCTCTAGTAAAAATACAAAAACTAACTGGGAGCAGTGGTGTGTGTCTCTAATCCCAGCTACTTGGGAGGTTGAGGCAGAAGAATCACTTCAACTCGACAGGCGGAGGTTGCAGTGAGCTGAGATAGTGCCACTGCACTCCAGCCTGGGTGACAGAGTGAGACTCCATCTCAAAACAACAAAACAAAACAAAATCTTGTTTATACACCTCAACTATGAACTAATTGCAAAGGTTTTGTGCAAATAGATTGTTTTACATCTACACTTTAGGTCCTCTGTCTTTTATTACTTTCTAAGTCAGGACAGTACCCATGGTTACATAAATGAATGACTTTGTGTTGACAAAATAAAAAAGAAACAGTGTTTAGAATCTCAAAAAAGAGATATCCAAATTTCTTTTTTCTTTCTTTCTTGCAACTGTTGATATTTCACTCTTAAATGAGCATCCTTGGATGAATGATTTGAATTTCAACAAATATCCTAAAAATAAATGTATGGTTTCTTTCTTAGGTAATGGAGGGATTGTTTATATGACGTATTTTTGGGGGAGAATAAAGTAACACATACCAGTCATTTGCTGAAGATGTGTCACTTATTGGCATGTGGATCACACAACTAATCAACTATTGTGGACAATCTATATCTTATTACCTCTGATAGAGCTGCCCCCGTTGTCTCCAGGGAGCCAAGAAAGGGTGATGGAGGAAGACGTGGTCTTGGAGACTGTAAGCCGAGGCTGATCTGGTGGAACTGGAGAGGAAACAGTTTTTAGAAAACAAGAATTAGTTTTTCACATCTTTAACTTTCCTGAACAGTCATTTACCAACTCATTTTTAACAGCCATTTATTAAATAAGTGTTTCAGTTTGCCAAAATATACAATTCACTTCTGTCAAAATGTCTATTTAGTTGATATCCTGGGCTAAAGAGATAGAACGGAGTGAATCTATTATTTAAAAAAAAATTCAGCCACATTTCTACTTGGATTCATATCTAACTCATTTCCTCACCAGTTCCTTGACTGTCTGAGTTATTTATCACTAATTGAAATCTTCTTTAAACTTACTAAGGATACATGCCTCATTTTACTATGAATTTCAGCCATGAAATTTAAGTGAAAAAGATAAATGGCATCCACTTAGCAGTTCCGTTCTTCTCAGGATGGAAAAGGGGAAGGAGGAAAAATAGCTAGTGGGAAAAAGAATTGCAAAAATCTTCACTTTCTAAGCTATTGCTCCAAGATGCAACACACACACACACACACACACACACACACACACACACACACACACACACACACACAGAAAATCAAAAGCAGGCCTTTGAACTGCAGAATATGAACTGGTCTCTCTTACAAGGCTTGTAGAATACATACTGGTAAGTAAGTCTGGATGGGTTCTGAGGGCAGAAACACTAAAGAAATTCAGAATCAGGTTATCCAAATCATATAGAAAGCTTCATATAAAATTCCCTTCTCTTTTCCTCTGAGAGAAGCCTAATATATTGACCTATCTCTTCAGAGTCATAATATAGTGCCTGTCTTCCAAAATTCCCTGGAATTCTCCTGACTTCAATTAATTTGAAATTCAAGATCAATTTTGCAGCATTTTTAGAAATATAGTTCTTTTCCTTTCCTTCCATCCCACCGAGAACAGTATTGATTTTATTTTTACTTGCTGTAATCTATTAATGTGACAACACCTAAATCCAAAGAAGCACACACTTTGATTTTTCTACTAATAAAATATTGCTGTGCATACAAATCTGAACTCAATCACTTATTGATTGGGATTTACACAAAATTTTAACATGACAATCTTTTGAAGTTGTGCACATTTTGTGTATGATATCAAGAAAAATACTTAGTATTAAATACATAGCTAAATACTACAGCGATCTACTTAGAGCTCCAGTTACTTTCATTTTTTAAAATACATTGCATATAAAAATTGAGTTAATTAGCATACAAAAAAGACCACAATTCAGACTTGTTTTTTGTTTGTGTTTTCTGGGATACACTTACATATATGTAGAGTAAACAGTGCAATTAATGGAAATTATTAAGAAGGACTTTTTTAGACATGTACACATAAAGAAAAAAGAGACTAGGCATTCTGTATGCAAAGATGTTTTGTATCTCAGTATTTCTGAGGTTGTGAATGCTTTGTATTTTCTTTGATTTGTTTAATTATATTTTGCAAAATGAACATGTGTTTTCTTTTTCTGTAATATGGAAACAGAAGTTAGCTCTTTATAAGGGCTGATTTTAAAATTTGTTCAGTGCTACTTTTTGCATAGAAAGCATACATGTAAAAGATATCATTAAAAAGAGTCCTCAAATGTTGTACCTTGTACTTGTAAGTTTAAAATAATTTCATCAGATCCCCAGTTGTTATTGGCAATGCAGCTGTAATAGCCGGAGTCTTCTGCTTTCACCGTGCGAATAATGAAGCTTCCGTTGCT
Source organism: Homo sapiens (assembly GCF_000001405.40). Taxonomy (NCBI): domain Eukaryota; kingdom Metazoa; phylum Chordata; class Mammalia; order Primates; family Hominidae; genus Homo; species Homo sapiens. Next base: position 225,377 of record NW_025791814.1, read on the forward strand.
AAAGATGCTCCTCCGCCCATCAATCGTTACTAGACTGGGTGTCCCGTTACTGCCTCACAGGAAGAAAAATGCACAGATTAAAGAAATTACAATCCAAATTAGCTGAGGTTGGGGAAAAACAGAAAGACTCTGTGAAGCAAACCACACATTTGGAAGCTTCATATTTCTTGCATTATGAAAGAACTAAATATGATTACATAATGAAAACAATCAATAGCTGTGTAGCTGAAGTTTTCCTTTGTAAAAAATGTTACGTTGAAGATGAGATCTGTGTCAAGGGCCCAGATTCTGGCTCAAGTCAGTGGACTCCTCATCTGTGCCAGAGACTGATGGGTCCCTCTTTACTCCACTCTGTGGGCACTGGAGATATCCTCATTTTGGCAATTCTGGGAATTTCTTCTGTAGGCAGAAGTGCCAGTTTGAACAAATCATACAGGGGAAACTAAACCTTGGGATCATTTTTAGATTCACTTAAAGTCACAATTATTCATGATTTTGACATGAAAAATGACATGTGATATCTCAAGAGGGTGATGAGTTTACCCTAGTATAAAAAGAACTGCGTGGCCATCATAACCACTGCTCCGGTGGCAGATTGTCCAGTCCTTTGGGGTCATTCCCACAACAGGCAGAATGCCAACTTGACCTTGGGAGCTACATATTTCATTTGGATGAACCAACTTTAAATGTATGAGAAAAGTGGTCACTAAACCAAACCATTATTTCTACAGTTTGGTCACTACACCAAGCCATTATTTCTACAGTTTATGCCTTCTAAGTGCTTTTGCTTGAAAATAGGCATTCTTCTGAATCCATTAGATCACATTTCTATGCTCATAAATGAATTTTCGACCCTTAACTTATATCCTAATTTCTTCTCCTGAATAGAGATATAGCACTTTAAAAAGTTATATGGACAGACCATATCTCACTCACTCTCTCCCTCTATCTTGGCTCCTATTATTTAAATAATTACTATGGAGTATGGAGAACCAGATTTTAAATTAGCAAAGTCCTAATGTACTCCATTTCTTAAAGTTCTTTCTCAGGGTATTTGAGTTATGGTTAGTTCACTATCTTTAAAGAAGAAGAGATAGGTGTTAAATCTCACAATAGCCTTGGCTGCATTCATCTCAGTTACATGGACAATTTACCTGAGAGGGTGCAGCAAACTTCCACAATAATTGAGTTGGTTCAACTACTTTCCTTGCAAGCATTCTCTCATGAACTAGAAGGCTCTGAATTAACAGAGGGTTGATACAATAAATCAGACCCTTTCAGTGCTAAAGCTGAGATTCCTTCTCTGCCCTCATCTCAGAAGAATTGGTAGGTTTCCTTGAGTTTTCACTAATATAAATAAACACAAAATTAGGAGACCACTAGACACAACCTGAGTATGTCAGATGTAATCTCTTAGAGTCTCACTGAAGGCATACATTGGGTTACTGGTTACCTGTCTTTCATCCATTTGACTGCAGGAGAAGGGTCCCCAACAGCCTTACAAGGCAAGACAATGTCTTTCATCCATGGAGTAGTCACTGTCCCACTGAAGGTCAGGATTCGTGCAGGAGCTGAGGAACCAAACAAAGTGGAATCCTGATTACTCCACAGACGTGTCTACACAGAGGCCAACATGACCTACTCAATAAGGGCAATACCTAAAAATGGATGTGAAGCCAATTCACATTACAACTGTCAACACTACTCTCTGGTACCCGGGTTATGAGGAATTGTCATTGTAAGAACACACAACTAGCAGAAAATTCCCATTGTAGCATTCTTTTCTTCTATTGACTAAACATGAGGAGTCCAAATTAAATATCTAGGGCTTCATAAGCCAAGCAGCTCCAAGCTGTGTTTTCTATGAGCCCAATTATTTCTCAAAGCACTTTAGGAAGCAATTTACCTCAACACAAAAACTGCTCATTAAAATATACTTTAATATCAGAGAAAGTAGACAATACAAAACACAAAGGCCCCAAAGACGGGAAGGAGTAAAACTGGAACAAGTTCTACTTAACAATTTCCCGACTGTATTATAGCAAGTTGATCTTTAGGACACACATTAAGGAGAATGAACATTTTCAGAGTGGCCTCTCTTGAAGAACAACCATTTGCTTGGAACAGTGATTCAGATGCCCAAACAGGAGCATCTGCCAGGGGCATCTGGTACTGGTGCAGCCCCAAGGTAGCAGAAGTCCCAGAAGACAGTCAGAAAAAGCCCAGGGTGAACTTGCCTTGAAGTCCAGTGTGGCCAGCAATGAGAGGTTCTAGTGCTACCTCCATCAGTGAGTCACAAAAGCTGACAGGGACACCACACACAAGTCTTCCAGAGGAAAACAATCTGCTCAGTCTTTGCCATACATTGGGACATTACTTTCTGGGGTGTAAACAGGAGCCCGGGGCTTCTCCTGTCCTTTGTTTTAGCCAGTATGCTTCAGACACTGTCATGGAGCTGGGGACATAGAGGAAACAGGTGCCCCTACAGGAGCTCACCCTCGATGGATGCACAGACCGGAAACCATAGGTGGAAGGCAGCCTTGAACTGATTCAGAGCCCATAAAAATGGGACAAATGTGAGACCCCTGCACCATTTCTGGGTTGAGGGTTTGCATTGGCAAAGGAAGATGAGGAGAAGGCTCCCCCAGGGAAGCTCTAGAATCCCTGGAAGGGCAGAGTACCCAGAGCCAAGTCATTATGCAGCCATCCTAGTATAGAATACCCACATTAGTCACTAGGATCTACCAGACCAAATCATACATTTTTGCTTCTGGGCACTGTGGGCAAGAGTAGAGAGAAAAAGAAAATGCCAGAGGGCTTAGAAGCTGGACCTTGTTTTTTGTTGCAGCAAAACCCATGTTTCAAGCAATTTCCCTGGACTGAGATGAAGTATTCTAAGGCAGGGCCCATTTCATCAGTCATTGACATTTCTGATTTTGCATCATGATAACAAAAAGGTCCTGATTAGGCAGCATCAGATTTCCTGCATTGGTAGCTTTTGGCATTTTCTTTTTCACACACTTCAGACAGTTCTTTAGAGAGTAGAGAATGTCCTCAGCAGTAAAAGGCGGGTGGCTAGAGAAATTCAGCTAGAGTTAGGGGCTTTCCAGCTTTATAACAGTCACCCACTTTAAGAAATATGTTTTACATCAAACTCCAGAAGCTACACATGCATTGGGATGTTGTGTATGTGCAAACAAAGTTGCATGAATAAAGACTTCACTGTATGTGATGCATTCTGATATTTTCTGTCTTTTTTAAACCCTAGTTTAGTCTAGTCTAGTTGATTTGACTCTGTTCCACTCTATTCCATTGTTGTTCTTTAACATTCTGGGCATAACCCCTCAAATTAACTCCAGGACTTATGAATGCTTTTCCATTAGCAATTTAAAAAATACAAGCTAGAGCTACTTCATCTTCAAGCCCAACAACCCCCATGCTATCGCTCAATGCCCATTTTGCCCATTTTAGACGGCTGAAATTTAAAGGGTCTCTAGCCAGAAATGTATGACTGGGCAACTCAACACACTAGACCTGGGGCAGCCAAGAGAATCCCCTAGAATCTTTGTTTAAAATGCAGGTTCCCACCACAGCCTTGTGGATTCAGCAGCTCTTTCCTGTACTTGGGGCATCTGCCTTTTGACAAGCATCCCAGGTGATTCTGATGAGAAACTGAACCCCTCTGCAACCTGGTGTCCCCTCTGATTCGGGTCCCGTTTGTTCTCAGCCATGGGGCCAGGCTCTCTGTGCCTTCGTGTCCTGGACCCCTTCCTAGGAGGGGCTTCCCCCAGGACCAGTGCCATGGCCCCATTCTGCCACTCCCTCCATAAAAGCAGTGGTCCTCCTCTTCTTCAACTGTATCTGAATTTTGGACCCTGCTACCTGTCGCTAGACTGCTGCTGGTCTGCCTTGACTTCCCAACAACTACAGAATAACCTGTCTCAATCTCCTCTGCTGTGGACATCCCCATCCCTCTAGGATGGGCCTTTCAGCCTTCATGGTTTGCCAGTGTCTGGGCTTCTGGGTGGGGGCTGCCCAACTGACTGTCTGCTCCATCCTGAGGCACTCCCTAGCTTATCCCCTTTCCAGAAAACCTACCTACAGCAATCCTAACCCTGAGTCAACCTCCCTTAAGCATGAAAAGTTGAACATTTCTGGAAAAAAAATCCATGCAATAGAGCATTTGGAGATTGACCACCATTTAGGATCATCAACCTCAATTGAACTGTCAGCACTCCCTGCTGGTCTTACTGTTTCTTTAGTAAATGTCCTCCCCATTCCCTGCAACGATGGCTTCCTGCTGTCCCTCCTCTTCTCACACTTCTGGGCTTCCCTCCACTATCCCCAAATTGCCTAATGCTTCAGAGACACCATCCAGGAACCCTGCATTTCCAGCCACCAAATCTGTGAACCTACTGGCATTTCCTCCTCTAAACCTCAGTGCTGTGGTCGTGGGCTCTTTCTTATGTATTGTTGATTTCTCGTTTCTCCCTCTCTACTGGGATCTTCCCGTTACCACATAAACATGCTCTGATGGCAGGCCTCATGAAAAATAATGAACCCAGAGCCTTTCCTCGAATGAGAGCCTCCCTCCCCCTCCCAGCTTCTTCTCTTGGTTGTCACTTCTTCCAGGTGATGTGTGTTGAAGGAATGTTCTGCCCAGTCAGCCTGCCCCTCACCTCCTACCCACTTTCTCACCTGACTCAGGCTCATTTCTGCATGCCCCTCCACACCCACTGATGCTGCTCACAGGAAGGTCACCACGATCTTCCGTGTGGCCACTGAGGGGCATTTTCGCCTGGTTTTGCCTGACTTTCCAGCAGCAGCAGCCTCACCTGACCACTCCCTCCTTTTGCAAGCATCTGTTTTGAATCCACAGCCTAACACCCTCCTGGCTCTGCTGCCTCTCTGGCTTTTCCCCTTTTCCTTTGCCTGCTCCCACTCCCTTTGAGAGTCCGTCCTGCACCTTCATCTCTCCTCCATCTCTCAGCCAATCTCATTCCCATCCCAGGTGTAAGCGATATCCAGACGCTGACCCGCCTGAATTTCTGCCTCCTGCCAGATGTCTCTTGAGAGCCAGGACATGCCTCAGTGCACAGATGCCTCTGAGTGAATGCCTCTTCGTCACCTTGGATTGAACCCCTCCAAATGTCTGTACCTCCTCTCACTGGCTTCAAAATCCACTTCTTCCATGGTCTTCTTCATCAAGAAATCGTGCCTCCACTTATGCTAACTCATGTGAGAATTTGGGTGTTCATTCTTGCTATCTCCTTCTCCACCCTCCTCCATTTCTGCCTCTCTGCAGTCCATTCAGGACAGAGAGACCAGGTGGTCTTAAAAAGCACACCCGCCATTAGTTGTAAGAAAGGCATTTAATTAGGATGTCTATAAAAAGGGAAACTAGGTGTGAGGTAAATGGCAACTCTCTGTACTATCATCACAATTTTTCTGTAAATCTAAAACTGTTCTAAAAAATAAGGTTTATCACACACACACACATGCACACAGAGAGAAAGAGAGATCATGTGCCTCCCTTGCTTAAAACCCTACACCATCTCCTTATTTCTCTTGCGGCAAAATCTGAAATCCCTAACACAGTGTTGAAAACCCAGCATGATCAGGTCCCTGTCTTCCTTCCCAGCGTCTCTGGGACCACTGTTCCTTCCCCGGCCCCAGCAGGGTCCAGTGTCCTGGACCTCCCACCTGCTAAATCTTTCTCTGCAGGAGCTTCTGACTGCTCACTTCTTCTCTCTTCACATAACCGCCTTTGCTTGTGCTCAGGGACCAAGTGTGTCCTCCATCTGACACTCCAGGTGAGGTCCTCTCACACTATTTCTTTATAGCACTTACTACAGTTTGTCTCTATGCATATACTTTTGTGATGCTTTGTTTACTGACTGTATTAGTCTGTTCTCATGCTGCTAATAAAGGCATGCCTGAGACTGGGTAATTTATAAAGGAAAGGGGTTTAATGGACTCACAGTGCCACATGGCTGGGGAGGCCTCACAATTATGGCAGAAGGTGAATGAGGAGCATAGGGCATGTATTACATGGCGGCAGGCAAGAGAGCATGTGTGGTGGAACTCCCCTTTACAAAACCATCAGATCTCGTGAGACTTACTCACTGTCATGAGAACAGCACAGGAAAGACCTGCTCCCATGACTCAATTACCTCCCACTGGGTCCGTCCCATGACACTTGGAAATTATGGGAGCTACAATCCAAGATGAGACTTGGGTGGGGACACAGACAAACCATATCACTGACTGGCTCCCCACCAAACTGTAAGCTTCAGGGGGTCAGGGAGTGAACACATCTCTTAAACCATCTCAAAAGACTCCTCTGGGCTCTCCAAACCCTGTTTTCTTTTCCCTGGTGGGTCCATGCCTTTATTCTAGACAATAGGATATTAGTAAAAATAATGTATACACTTCCGTATCTGGCTCATGAAAACCTCTCATCAAACCCTCCATACTCCCTTCTTCCCCCATCTATTTAGCTGTAAATGAGGAGAAATCCAGGGTTGTAAATCATAAGGTGGAAGGGGCCTGGATGCCTGAATCACCATGTGGAACAGGCCACCCAAGAGAGCCCTGACCAAAAATACCTCTGTTGGACTATATTATTATGTGAAGCCACTGAGATTTAGGGAACATTTATTTCAGCAGTCAGCCTCCCTTGACCAAATCCTCTGTGTCCCCAGCATAGACCCTGACATACAACAGGCACTCAAAATGACTTATTAAATGACTGGAGGACATTGAATTTCCCCAGGCAAGACCTGCTTCTGTGAGAGTTTTCAATTGTTCCCCCACTGAGTAAGTCATACCCCACTGCACTAGCCAGGCCTTTCTGGCTGTGTCTAGAGATAGAACTTTGAAAGCACAAAGGAAAGGAAGAAACATTATTGCTAATCCTATGTGTTTTGTTGCAGTGTTTTTTTGTTTGTTTGTTTTTGTTGTTTTTTTGGTAAATCCCACAGCTCAGTCCTTATGTACAACATTTTCCTTGGTAATCATCATTTTCTCATTCTCAGGGAGTGGCTGGATATCATGACCAAAGAGTGTAATACATAAAGTAAGTCCCCCAGTTTATTTCCCTTACCAACTTACTTATTTTCTATCTGTATTTGAGCTCAAAATGTGACACCCCTCTTTTTTCCCCTCACTGCTTTATTCTGCCTATTTCTTAACTATCTCATTAAAAAGCACATTTTTCAGAGAATTCTTGGAGGTAAAATTGGAATCTTGGAATGTTCATTCTTGTCTTTCAGGCTATCAGAGAACATATTAGTAATAAGTTGCCACTGTTCTATAACTCAAAATTAGGGGCAACTCCTGCTGGCCTGGAATTGTGTCGTAAGGAAATTGACTTATTATGAATGCTAATTTAGGGGGTTCCTGGAAACACTGGATGGCCGTGATTACCAGAAGAGCAAGAATACCCCGTGCCTGCGTGTGCTTTTTAAGGACCAGTTTAACGTACAAATGTGAAGATATTATATTCACTTTAAGGAACTTTTTATTCTTTGGTGACTCCTACTTCCTGCTGTTACTTAAAGTCTTTGCTTATAGCATTCTGTCAACAGATAGTGAATGATTTTCAAATATTTTTAAGCTTGCAAATTCCATAGACTATAAAATAGACATTTCTCATTAAGAAGTGTGATACCTGATTTTGCTGAAAGTAGAACATCCTTGGGAAAATGCCGTGTAATGATTTTCAGCTACTCCAAGGAATGAATGAGGGCTCCTTTCCTAATTTTCATAGACACTTCCATTGTAAGGCCACTCATTCTCAGCTTTGTGTTTACCTCCAGGGAATTACTTTTCCATGGGACAGAAGCTCAGAGCTTGTTAGCCACAACCCTGTTTCTTGAGCTAAAATGTGATATTCTGGTTTATTTGATTTTTAGGAAAGTGTAAGTTTTATTTCAGGTAAAATAGAGACTTAAAAACAGTCAAGTTACAACAGGAAATGAGGTCCTTATAGCCACTGCCTACCTTTTGCTAGTGGCTCGACTGTGATGATTTCACTGCTGTTGCCTCTTCCGGCTGAAGTAACAGCCACCACCCAGACGCTGTACTGACGATTCCTACTCAGGTTGGGAATTCTGTAGGAAAACGAGTCGGGAGAGGCCTCAAACTCGCTGATCACCTGTAAAAAGAGACATAAGTGTTCCCACATTCAAAGAAGCATGTGGCAAAAATGGATTTCCCGAAGGAATGGTCATGAACATATTAAATATCATAACAAAAAAACTCAACTCACTCTCCTCTAAAAGGCTGGCTTTGCAATATAAAATGTAACTGGTAAGTTTAAGTGACCCACCATCTACATTTTTCTCTGCAGCAGCTTTGATGGCCACCAATAAATAATTTACCCCTTTACATTACAGGCCACAGCACTTCTGTATTTGGCTGAGATGGAGTAACAAGAACCAGATTTACCCTCCCACCTGAAACAACTGAGGAACACACACCATCCATAAAACAATGGTTCTAAAAGCATTGCACATCAGGTAATAAATGACAGTGATCTCTGAAAGATGGGAAACGAATGAAGAAAACCCCACAATCGCAGAGATTTTGCAATTTGTAGGGCAGTGTAAATTTTATTTCTGATAAAATAGAGAGCTCCACCTCCTCAACTCGGGAGGTTGGCAGCCTTTCCAAGCTAAGGAGGCAGAGCTGAGAGCCTGAAGGAAGCTAGAGTTCACAAGGAAGAGCACTGGAAAGAGAGCTACACACAAAGGACAAGCTCTGGAGATTGAAGAGGGTCCTACTTGGGTATTCAGCTGAGCAGATCCATGGATGCATGTGAGGAAACTACCCAAGGCCAGGGAAAGACACCTGAAAGAATTGGAGGTCACGGTGCCTAATGCTCACACAGGGATGGGAGTAGTGGCTGTTCTCACCAGTTGGGTTGGAAAACATCAAGATTCCTCGAGCATTGGGTATAGTGCATAAGGGTCTTACCACAAAGGGGAAATAATTAGCCCCAGGCTGAATACCACTCCAGTCTTTCCTAATTATTCTTAAAGGCAAGACTTAGAGAGAACAAATTATTCCTAAATAACTTAACTACATCCAAGAATAAAGGTCAAGAATATTTATAGAATTTATAGAAATTGAAGCATGTAGTACTCCAAAAGGTGAAGTTCACAAAGTTTAACACCTACTAAAATATTTCCACAAACAAATAGCCCAAATATGTGTCACCTGATGACTGGATAAACATAATATGTCACAGCGATACCATGGAGTCTGTATTAGTCCATTTTCATGCTGCTGATAAAGACATACCCGAGACTAGGTAATTTATAAATAAAAAGAGGTTTAATGGATTCACAGTTCCACATGGCTGGGGAGGCCTCACGATCACGGCAGAAGGTGAAAGGCATGTCTTACATGGTGGCAGGCAAGAAAGAATGAGGCCAAGCAAAAGGGGTTCCCCCTTGTAAAACCATTATATCTCAGGAGACTTATTCACTACGAGGAGAACAGTACAGAGGAAACTGCCCTCATGATTCAATTATCTCCCACCAGGTCTCTCCCACAACACATGGGAATTATGGGAGCTATATAATTAAAGATGAGATTTGGCTGGGGACATGGAGCCAAGCCATATCAGAGTGTTATGAGATAATAGAAAGGAATGAAGTACTGATAAATGCTATAACTTGGATAAATCTTGAAAACATTATGCTAAGTGAAAGGAGCCAATTATAAGAAACCACACATTTGTGATTCTCTTCATTTAAAATGTTCAGAATAGGCAGATCGATGGCAACATAGATTAGTGGTTGTCAGGGGCAGGGTAGGGGAAGGGGAAAATTGGGAATGACTGCTAATGGGCGTGCAGTTTCTTTTCAGGGTGATGAAAATGTTCTAAAATTAGATAGTGGTAAGGGTTGCATAACTCTGTGAATATACTAAGAGCCACTGAATTGTTGAAGTTAAAAGTGAATGACATCTCAATAAAGCTGTCATAAAAATTTCCAGGAAAACATAATTCATAAGAAGAAATCAATCAATCAAAATTCACCCATAATTGGCACAGACATTAGATTTATGCAAACAAGGGCAATAAAGTAGTTATAATTGTATTATAGTGGTATTATAACTGTATATGTTCAAAAATTTAAGTAGATATGATACAAAAAGACCTAAATTAAACTCGAAATGAAACTATAATGCATGAAATAAAAAATACATTGAACTTGATTAGCAGCAGCGTAGATATTGCAGAAAAACTGATTAGTGAACTTAAAGGTGTGGAAGGAAAATAAATATTGGGGCCCCCAAATCACTAAGCTAAAGGGAAAAGTCAAGCTGGGAACTGCTTAGGGCAAACCTGCCTCCCATTCTATTCAAAGTTATCCCTCTGCTCACTGAGATAGATGCATATCTGATGGCCTCCTTTAGAAGGCTAATCAGAAACTCAAAAGAATGTAACCATTTGTCTCTTATCTACCTAGGACCTAGAAGCCCCCTCCTCACGAGCCCCCTCCCCACTTTGAGTTGTCCCGCCTTTGCTTCAAGTTGTCCTGCCTTTTCAGATGGAACCAATGTTAAAAAATTGGTTGATGTCTCATGTCTCGCTAAAATGCATAAAACCAAGCTGTGCTCGGACCACCTTGAGCACATACTGTCAGGACCTCCTAAGGCTGTGTCATGGGCACGCATCCTCACTTTGGCAAAATAAACTGCCTAAATTGACTGAGACCTGTCTCAGATATTTGAGGTTCACAACACATATTAATAAATGATACATAGAAAAGAGAATAAAAAAGTTAACAGGGCATTAGTGAGCTATGGAAAAATATCAGGCTGCCTAACATGCACATAGTGGAGTTCCTAAAGGAGGGGAGAGAGACAGGACCAAAAAAAGGTTGTAAAAATAGTGGTTGAAAAATTTCCAAATTTGATGAAAACTGTAGCCCGCAGAGCCAAGATACTCAGTGAATTCTAGCCACAAGAATATTAAAAAAAAAAACTGTACCAAGGAGCATCATAATCAAACTACTCAAGAGTTTTAGTTTCAGTGCTAGAGAGAAAATCTTAAAAGTAGCCAGAGAAAGTAAATGTTGTGTAAAGGGGAACAAAGATAAGCATGGCAGCCAATTTCATTTGAAAAACAATCAAGGTAAGAAGACAGTGGAATGATTTCTTTCAAGTACTGAAAGAAAAAAATCAACCTAGAATTCTATATTCAACAAATATAATTCAAAATGAAATTGAATAAAGACTTTTTTCAGATACATAAGAAGCTGAAAGAATTAATCACCAGTAGACCCACATTACAAGAAATGTTAAAGAAAGTCCTTCCAGCAGAAGGAAAATAATACCAGATAGACAGAGACATAAATGTACACAAATAAGTAGAAAAAGGAGGTAATTATACAGATACATATATATGGTATTTCTTATTTAAATATTATTAAAATATGGTTGATAGTTAAAAACAATACCAATGTAATGTGGGTATATAATATAAATAAAAGTAAAATGTTTAACAATAGCACAAATGTTGGGAGGAAAAAATGGAAGTATATGATTGTAAGTTTCTTATACTATATGCAAAGTGTGTAATACCGCTTGAAAGTACACTAAGATGTTAAAAGTATATGCTGTGAATTGTAAGGAAACTGCTGAAATTACAAAATATAGCATAAAATAAAGCTAATGAACTAATAAGATAAATAAAATGGAATTACAAAAAAAACCCCAAAGAAGTCAGAGAAAGACTGACAAGGGCAACAAGTAGCACAACAGCAGCAGAACTCAAATAGCAAATAGCACTACACAGAGTTAAACATAAACATAGTAATAATAATTTTAAGTATAAATGATCTAAATATATTAAAGGCAAAGATTGTCAGACCTGATATAAAAGCAATATCCGACTATATGCTGCTTACAAGAAATGTACTTGAAATAGGCCAGGTGCGGTGGCTCACGCCTGTAATCCCAGCACTGTGGGAGGCCGAGGCAGGTGGATCACGAGGTCAGGAGATTAAGACCATCCTAGCCAACGTGGTGAAACCCTGTCTCTACTAAAAACACAAAAAATTAGCCGGGCGTAGTGGTGGGTCCCTGTAGTCCCAGCCACTCTGGAGGCTGAGGCAGGAGAATGGCATGAACCCAGGAGGCGGAGCTTGCAGTGAGCCAAGATTGTGCCACTGCACTCCAGCCTGGGTGACAGAGTGAGACTCTGTCTCAAAAAAAAAAAAAAAAAGAAAGAAAGAAAGAAAGAAAGAAAGAAAGAAAGAAAGAAAGAAAGAAAGAAAGAAAGAAAGAAATGTACTTGAAATATAAAAACACAAATAGGTTAAAAATAAAGGAACTTAAGTGATATCCTATGATAACACTAATCAAAAAAATATGGAATGGCTATAGTAATATCAGACAAAATAGATTTAAAAGCAAAGGATATTACCAGTAATAAAGACAGAAATTTCATAACGATAATGGGGTCAGTTCATCAAGAGAACATAACAATTCTAAACATTTATTCACCTAATATTCACCTATTATTCAAAGATATGAAGCTTGGTTATTAGGTGAATAAACGTTTAGGATTTATTATTACATGAAACAAAACTAATGGAACTTCAAGGAGACATAGACCTAGATAGGTCAGAATTGTTCCTTAAAAAGCCATGTGAAGTAGGTGGAGCTGGATCCATTTTATAGATCAGGAAACTGAGGTTCAGAGAAAGTAAGTGATTCACTGATGTCACAAGACCAGACAACTGCAGAACAATGGCTCCAGCTCAGGGCCTCTGGTCCCAAGTCTGGTGCTATTTCCTCACACTTTATGCTGTCAATTAGAAGTGACCAAAACAAGAAGGACTTACTTTTACTCTTGTTAGCTTTTCAATAAACCTTACATGCCTCAGCAGGCTGCATAAGTTACAATACCAGTCATGCAATTAAACAGGGGATTTAAATCTTCACTATATCTCTTAATTGTCATACAACCTCATGCTTCCTCAACAAAACATAATGTCAGATAATTACTTATTGTCAAAACTTTAATTTGTGGGTACACAGTGTCAGATGATTTGGAGAGACTCTTGCATGGATTCCCTAGATACATCACTATAATCTAGCATGCACGTGCATGTGTATGCACTCATTTACACCTCACCTCCACCCCCCTCCCACTACAACACTCCAGTCACGTCTTAGAGTATTATGGGAAAATTAGTCCCTCTAGAAGTTCAGAGGGAATTTGGCCTGTTTCCTGATAAACCAAAGAGACAATCCTGAGACTGTATGTACTTGCATTGTGTGATTCTCCAAGGCTATGTCATTGCCAAATTAATTTTACAAAGCTTAATGATGTGCAAATTCTAACAATTACTCTTACTGAACATTAAGCATCAGGAAAGCATTAAGATATATTTATAAAATAAAGATCTTTTTCTGTGTAGACAACATAGCTTTTAGTTAAAACTCCATACTTATCCTGTTGACAAGGTAAAATTCGTTCTTGATTACCTCCAAAACACACACTTTAATTTTTGCCTGTAACATAATGCATGGCTAAAATCAACAATAAAATATGACTTTTTATGCAACAAGATTTGTTTCATCATTTATATAGAAGACTAATCAAGAATTGAAGTAAAAAAGGTATATTCATAGAAACTTCCTTAATTTCTCCGTAGGTTAGGATGAAAAATAATAACGTCAAGCTGTTAGTGGCTCCTATTGGTTATTTGGGTAAGTTAGTTACACTGATGTCACCACCCTTTGATGCCACTGTGTATTCCTCTGAGGACTGCCATAATTAGGCACAATTTTCCTGGTCTTAGTAGAAGGGCAAGCAGAAAGTTGATAACTGAACAATTTAAACCATCAGAGTTGATTTATTTTCTTTGGAATATATGTAACTGGATATTAAAGTTGACTCTTCCTGTTCTCTGGAAGTTTTAGCGATGATCTTAAAGCGTGAGAATGCTCCTAAAGATGCCAGTGCCTTCTTTCCTAACAAGAGCTGTGAGGCCACCTGGGCAGGACTTGCTGGTTCTCATGTTTTGCCAGTCATCCATTTCCAGGCTCCAAAAGAGGCTGGGGCAGGAATAAGGATTTTCTGTTGAGAGAGGTCTGTGAGTATTCCCTCTTATGGGTGGAAGAGGGCTTTGAGCTCTAGGGAATCTCTCGGAGAACTTGGAGTCTGAAGGACACAGAGCTTGGTAAGTGAGCCACACCTGAGAAGGCTAATGGCGAACCACAGTGGCAGAGGTTAGCCCTGCTCACAACAGGAGAGGAGGCTGGGCTGGACTGGCCACGCCTCCTAGAGTGAAGCAGGGTAAGGATGCCTACTGGTTGACCCTAGAGGACAGAGCAAGCCTGGATGTCTTGAGAGAGAGAACCATAGGCATGAAATGCCTCCAACAGAGGGATGCAGTGTAAATTATATAGTATTTATTGTAAACAGAATCATTAGCTATGGATGGTGCATAACTCAATCATTATTAACCATTTTAACAGTAGGTAGGAGAAAAAAGAAAAAAAGAGCAAAATGGGAAGAAAATAACCAGAAGTTCTCTCAGTGTAGTGGAGCCAATCTAGTTGATTAAATCCTTTTTAATGCTCAGCCAAAAATGCTTGTTCTGAAAAGAAGGGATGATAAATATCATCTCCTTTTGAAATATTTCCCTCCATATTTTATTAAGTTAGGATAGCATGGACTATATTTATATTTCATTAATTTTCTTTTTATTGGATACCAGATTTTCCAACACAACAATCCAATAGTGTGTAAACTGACTTGCTAATTTCTACATGCATATTTTATTACGTAGCACTCTCTTCCAAATATAGAGAATGTTCAATGAGAAGGGATCACTTTGATTTCCAGATTTCGCCTGATATATCAGCTGGGTTGCTATTTCAGAGACTCTGAATCTTTTTTTTTTTTTTTTTTAAAGAAACAAAGCAAAGCTTCGCTATCAAGGACAACAGATAAACACTGCGGTATAAAGAAGGGCAAACTCACAATGGAGTTTCTTAGGGATTAATGAACCAAATGTGGCAAAAGGAGAAATCTGTGGGGAAGCAACAGAGACACTTTTCTTAATATTTAAATATTTCATTTTCTTCAGGTAGACTTTGAACTCTCCAGTCTCATCTTCTTTAGAGTTAAGACAGACGTGTCAGTCATCCTAGATTTTGTTATGCCTAAAGTGTGAATTAATTTTGAGTGGACTACAGTAATTGTGCTAACCATTTGTTTGAAGAGAAGACATAAGAGTTCCTTTGTGACCTGTGGAAATACAGAAACAGCCAACATTACGAAGTTGCCGCCAGGCATGGACTTGAGGGATCCCATCCCCCATGTCCCTGAACCAGAATGCCAGGGATTCCCTTCCATGGCTTATTTTTAATCCTGCTCTGTCTATGCCCAGCTTGAGGAAGTGGATGGGACATTTGTGGACTGGGGTTGCCAATTATTTTGCATCTGTCATATATTCCTCTTGGCTAGCTGAGGAAAAAGCCTGTTATTTCTCATCTAAAATGTGTTTAAACATGTAGGCTCTATCCAAGTTGAGAAGCAAGCCAACATTTATTATTAATTAATCACTTCTCAATTGAAAGGCTCTAAGTGGCTGCCAAGTTACTGATTTCTTGGTCCACCAGATAACATGGTGGCATGAGAAGAACAGGGCTCTCTCTGGCTCAGCGGTCCCCAGCCTTTTTGGCATCAGGGACAGATTTCGTGGAAGACAGTTTTTTTTTTCACAGATGGATGGACGTGGTAGGATGGGATGGTCTTGGGATGAAACTGTTTCACCTCAGATCATCAGGCATTAGTTGGATTCCCATAAGAAGCATGCAGTATAGGTCCCTAGTATTAGTCCGTAGCCCGGGGGTTGGGGAATCCTGCTCTACCGATGTCATGTAACAGGGGCAATCCACAGTGTTCTTAGGGGAAGATTTGGGTATTTGGTCTGAGGACACACACATAAAATGTAAAATATGCATGTTGCTTATGTAATGAACCATCTCAAATACTATTCTTACAGTGGGCTGGTCATGGTTTTTACTGTGGGAGGTGGTGGGGGGGGGTCCAGGCAGACACTGCTGCCTTCAAAGTATGGAGGTCTGTGGATAAGGGATGTTGGCGAGAGTTATAGGACCCCATGAGCCAGACATAGAAGCTTGTTGGACTATCGTTCTCTCCTTTGGGCTGTGGGAAGAAAATCTAGGCAAAAGTTCTTAGCTTCATGCCTCATAATAGGAAGGGCTTGTAAATAATTACTGAGTTTCAATTAATGGTCATTTACTGAGTTCAGTTGCAGTGTGTAGATTATAAGGCAAGTTCCTGCCCCCGGGGAGCAAGAAGTGACCACAGCTTGGCAAACAGATTAATTTAAAATGAGGCACCATAGAAGTCTGACCAATTCCTACTAAAATTTAGATATAAACTCGTTTGAACCTTTCTCTAAAACCAACCCTGTCATAGTTGAAGACATGGATGAATATTTATAAGTTGCCTAAAAAATAAATGGAAACTTCATATATTTGTTTTAAAAAATATTTATAGCAAGGTTTTACAAGACTTCTGACATGTTTGCCTCCCCAAAGCCGTATCCAGAGTGGAAAATACAGTAAATGGGATAAATCTTGTGACACCCAAGCCAGAGCGTTCACATTTCAAGCGTTTTGTCTTTGTATGTTACTGCTTTAGGTCTGCTGGGTAGAGTCGTGGGTTCCTAAGGAACTAAATGTGCACAGTTTACTCTTCCAGTCAAAAGAGTGTAAGGGTTGTGAGGAAGTTAGTTTTCTCCTAGTGCTTCAGGGTCAACTCATGGAAAGCCTGGGAACAGCGTCTTCTAGACCTGCCTTCATTCCACAATTATTGTTGCCTTGTGGTGTTGATATAATATTTTTCTTTTCATGTGTAAGATGCTTTTGACCAGTAAATAAGATATAATTAGCCACAGTGAGGCACTTTAAACACTCTTTGGTCATGTCTATAAAACTAGACGTTTACCCAATAATTGCCAAATTCATTTCCGAACCCCTCACATTACTTAGCTTGTAGCTGCACTTGTAAGACCTTGCAGAGCCTTCTCTAGTCCTCTCAATCAGGGGCTAAGTCTGCCCTTTGTCTTTCATAGCCTTTGCCTTTATTCCACTGTGGGTTATGGTCTTGCATGTGCTTACTGCATCTCCCCAGGGGTCAGGCTCCCCGACCCATCCCTCTACTCCTTTTACTCACCCATCCCTCTACTCACTCTGCAGGGAACCTGGTTCAGAGCATTGCTTAGAGCTGGGACTCAATGACCAGTAACTGGAATACACTGAAGAAATTCTTGTTGTACTAGGTGAGTTTAGTAATGACCTAGAAATGATTTGAGTACGATAGGAAATAATGAGGATAAAATGACTACAAAGCCATAGGCTGTTCATGTCAAACTATTCAGCCTGTCTGATATAAAAGGAATTCTACTTTTAAAAATTTCAATTAACTTTTTAATGAAAAACTAATTCTATAAGGAAATGTGATGTTTTAAAAAGCTCTGATAGCTAATTGTTAACATGCAATTAAAAAAACTTGAAGGCTGTGATTTCATAGATAGAATGTCCACAGCAGTGAAAAAAAAACTCCCCCAAGCAATAAACAAAATTGATAGCTCTTTTAATTATAGGGTAAGGGAACTTTTAGAATGCTTAACATCTTCTTGTTTAGTGGCAAAGAAATGGCCTGGATTCCATTAAGAATTAGCAGTTCACTGCATTAATTTAAGATTTTTAAAATTCTTATGTATAATATATTTTGATCTAATTTCCATTTTATTTCACAGTTCCCATCTATAAAAGAAGATGTCATGGCAGAAAGATCTTCCTAAAGGCATAGGTTGAGAGGCCAACATTGGTAGAAATGGGATAACAGCCAGGCAATTCTGGTAGTTTCCTCTGCCTTTCACTGAGATTACTGTAGATACCATTACATATATGACTATATATATGACTATATATAGACTATGTATATAACTATATACATAGACTATTGGCTACTTTTAAAAAGCCTTTCAAATATAAAATATTTTATATATGACCATATATATATATATGACTATAGATACCATTATATATATGTCTATATATATGACTATATGTAGACTATATATATAATTATATACATAGACTATTGGCTACTTTTAAAAAGCCTTTCAAATATAAAATATTTTATTTTTGGCCTTCCAAATATAAAAGTTATTGCTATAATGTTTTGCAACTATATTAAAGTTGATATCCAGAGAAGGCATGAGAAAAACTAGTTTCTTGATGTAATTGTTTAGAATTAGAAGCACCATCCAATTAGCCCAGGTGGCATTACAGATACTTATGTTAACAGGCTCTTTCCAACCGATATAATCTCCCTTTGCTACAATTTTTCCTCATCCCCTTTTCATTGTCATACCACCTGCCATGAAAATTATCTATCTGTCAAAGTTACATTATTAATTTAACTTGATTGCTGTCACCTATTCAACAAATTCTGTACAAAAAAACTAATTTGTTATCATATAGTTTCTCACATACAAGAAATTAATGAGAAACACCATTCTTAGTAATAAAAATAATATATGCAGAATTTACAAAATTGAAAAAAATAGCTCTTTCCACTAGTGTTAATTGAAAAATGATTTAAAGCCAATTTATTTCCTTAAATAGTACAATATGTCTGTGTCAGGCCAAGTCAAAAAGATAAGATGTTTTCAAAGCTGCAATCTTCCAAAAGCTCCAAAAGCTAATTGATAAAAAGGGCATTTTAGCAAAACTTTGGAGACAGTAAAAAGATCAGAGGTTAAGAGGGTGGGATGAATAGGAGGAGCACAGAGGGTTTTCAGGGCAGTGAAACTTCTGCATGATGCTATAATGGTGAATCCATGTCATCAAACATTTGTCCAAACCTATAAAATGTACAACCCCAAGAGTAAGTCTTACATAAACTATGAACACTGGCTAATAATGATGTGTCAATGTAGGTTCCACCATTGTTACAAATGCACCACTTTATTGGGGGATGTCGATAGTGGGGGAGGCTGTGCAGTAGGGGCAGGGGCATTTGGAAAATCTCTGTACCTTCTTCTCAATTTTTCTGTGAACCTAAAACTGCTTAAAAAATAAAGTCAAGTTTTTTAAAGGCATTTTAGCCTGTGGATAATCAGAAAGCTCTACGCAGCAATGGGGAAGTACATTCAGGGTGGCATACACTAAGCTACCTAGTCTGAATGAATGCTACCTCAAAGCTAGAATGCTTAGTGACAGGTTATCTGACAAATCAGGCAGGCAGTCTTATGAGACTGAGCTTCAAAAGAGATTTCCAGGGCCTCTTTCTGTATGAAAATTTTAGGGGAGTATATGCTTAAGTTTTCTTTGCTCTATAAATTACATGATTGGGCTCAGAATTTTAAAGGCCAAGATTTCTACCTTGAGTATAGGCCATCTGCATTTTACCAGTTATAGCAATTGAATGATTTCACATAATGCCTAGTGGACAAACAACCACTGAGAACAATATGAGAAGAAAACTGAAATATAGCTTCAACAGAAAGATTGAGTAGTTATTGGCTTGTTCACTGTGTGATATGGGTTGGCTGTGTCCCCACCCAAATCTCATCTTGAATTGTAGTTCCCACAATCCCCATGTGCCGTGGGAGGGACCCCGTGGGAGGTAACTGAATCATGGGTGTGGTTACCCTCATGCTGTTCTTGTGACAGTGAGTGAGTTCTCATGAGACCTGGCTTTATAAGGGGCATTTCCCGCCTTGGTTCTGCACTTCCTCTTGCTGCTGCCACGTGAAGAAGGACATGTTTGTGTCCCCTTCCACCATGATTGTAAGTTTCCTAAGGCCTCCCCAGCCATGCTGAACTGTAAGTCAATTAAACCTCTTTCCTTTGTAAGTCACTCAATCTTGAGTATGTCTTTATTAGCAGTGTGAGAACAGACACTGTGAATAGGATAACAGGGAAAAAAGACCACTATTAAATGATAAACTTATAAAAAACAACATCGACTTCCCTTCCACTTTCTTAAAGAATAGAAGTCAAATAAATAGGCAAAAATTGCACACAAAAAACTGAGAAGATTTAGAACCACATTCCATATCTATTGAGATAATCATGTAGTTTTTGTCTTTACTTCTGTTTATGTGATGAATCACATTTATTGATTGAGTATGTTGAACCAACCTTGCATCCTGGGAATAAAGCCTACTTGATCATGGTGGATAAGTGTATTAGCCCATTTTTATACTGCTATGAAGAAATACCAGAGACTGTGTAATTTATAAAGAAAAAGAAGTTTAATGGACTCACAGTTCCACATGGCTGGGGAGGCTTTAAAATCATGGCAGAAGGCGAAGGAGGAGCAAAGGCATGTTTTACAT
Source organism: Homo sapiens (assembly GCF_000001405.40). Lineage (NCBI taxonomy): Eukaryota > Metazoa > Chordata > Mammalia > Primates > Hominidae > Homo > Homo sapiens. Next base: position 245,794 of record NW_025791814.1, read on the forward strand.
GGTGGCAGACAAGAGAGGGTGTGCAGGGGAACTGCTCTTTATAAAACCATCAGAACTCATGAGACTTATTCACTATCATGAGAACAGCACAGGAAAATCCGCCCCCATGATTCAATTACCTTCCACCGGGTCTTTTCCATGACACATGGAGAAAATGTGAGGTACAATTCAAGAAGAGATTTGAGTGGAGACACAGCCAAACTATATCAATAAGCTTTTTGATGTATTGCTGGATTCAGTTTTTCAGTATTTTGTTGAGATTTCTGCATTGATGTTCATCAAGGATATTCTCCTGAAGTTTTCTTTTTTGTCATATCTCTGCCAGATTTGGGTATCAGGATGATGCTGGCCTCATAGAACGAGTTAGGAAGGAGTCCCCCCTCCTAGATTTTTTGGAATAGTTTCAATAGGAATGGTACCAGCTCTTCTTTGTATATCTTGTAGAATTCAGCCATGAATCCATCTAATCTTGGGCTTTTTTCATTTGGTAGGCTACTTATTCCTGCCTCAACTTCAGAACTCATTATTGGTATGTTCGGGGATTCAATTTCTTCCTATTTCAGTCTTGGGAGAGTGTATGTGTTCAGGAATTTATCCATTTCTTCTAGGTTTTCTAGTTTATGTGCATAGAGGTGTTCATAATATTCTCTGATGGTTGTTTGTATTTCTGTGGGGCCAGTGGTAACATCCCACTTATTTATTCTGATTGTACTTGTTTGAATCTTGTCACTTTTTTTCTTTATTATCCTAGCTAGTGGTCTATCTATTTTATTTTTTTTTTTCAAAAAACTAGCTCCTGGATTTGTTGATCCATTGAATGGTTTTTCATGTCTCTATCTCCTTCTGTTCAGCTCTGATTTTGATTATTTCTTGTCTTTTGCTAGCTTTGGGATTTGTTTGTTCTTGATTCTCTAGTTCTTCTAGCTGTGATGTTAGGTTGTTAACTTGAGACCTTTCTAACTTTTTGACGTGGGCATTTAGTACTATAAATTTCTCTCTTAACACTGCCTTAGCAGTGTCTCAGAGATTCTGGTACATTGTATCTTTGTTCTTATTAGTTTCAAAGAACTTCTTGATTTCTGTCTTAATTTCATTATTTACCCCCAAAGTCATTCAGGAGCAGGTCATTCAATTTCCATGTAATTTGTATAGTTTTAAGTGAATTTCTTAGTATTGATTTTGAATATGATTGTGCTGTGGTCTGAGAGACTGTTACGACTTCAGTTCTTTTGCATTTGCTGAGGAGTGTTTTACTTCTGATTAATATGATCAATTTTACAGTAAGTGTCATGTAGCAATGAGAAGAATGTATATTCTGTTGTTTGGGGGTGGAGAGTTCTGTAAATATCTTTCAGATCCATTTGAGTTCTGTAGATATTTATCAAATCCATCTAATTCAGGACCTGAGCTCAGGTCCTGAATATCTTTGTTAATTTTTTGTCTCAATGATCTGTCTAATATTGTCAGTGGGGTGTTAAAGTCTCCCACTGTTATTGGGTGGGAGTCTAAGTCTCTTTGATGGTCTCTAAGAACTTGCTTTATGAACCTGGGTGCTCCCGTGTTGGATGTATATATATTTAGGATAGTTAGATCTTCTTGAATTGAACCCTTTACCATTATGTAAAATATAGGATGATGTAAATTTAGGACAGTTAGATCTTTGTCTTTTTTGTTCTTTGTTGGTTTAAAGTCTGTTTTGTCAGAAACTAGGATTGCAACCCCTGCTTTTTTCTGTTTTTGATTTGCTTACTGGATTTTCCTCCATCCCTTTATTTTGAGCCAATGTGATTATCTCAAATAGATGCAGAAAAGGCTTTTGGTAAAATCCAACATCCATTCATGTTAAAAACTCTCAATAAACTAGTTATTGAAGGAACACACCTCAAAGTATTATGACCCATATATGACAAACCCACAGCCAACATCATACTGAATGGGCAAAAGCTGGAAGTATTCCCCTTGAAAACTGGCACAAGACAAGGATGCCCTCTCTCACCACTCCTACTCAACACAGTATTGGAAGTTCTGGCCAGGGCAATCAGGCAAGAGAAAGAAATAAAAGGCATTCAAACAGGAAGAGAGGAAGTCAAACTATCCCTATTTGTAGATGGCATGATTCCATATCTAGAAAATGCCATCATCTCAGCCCAAAAGCTTCTTAAGCTGATAAACAACTTCAGTAAAGTCTCAGGATAGTGCGAAAATCACTAGCATTCCTATCCTCTAACAACAGTCAAGCTGAGAGCCAAATCAGGAATAAACTCCCATTCACAACTGCCACAAAAAGAATAAAGTACCTTGGAATGAAGCTAACTAGGATGGTGAGAGATCCCTACAAGGAGAACTACAAACTACTGCTCAAAGAAATCAGAGATGACACAAACAAATGGAAAAACATTTCATGCTCATGAATAGGAAGAATCAATATCTTAAAATGGCTATACTACCCACGCAACTTATAGATTCATGCTATTCTCATTAAACTACCATTAAGATTCTTCACAGAACTAGAAAAAACTATTTTAAAAATTCAGTTGGAACCAAAAAGAGCCCAAACAGCCAAGGCAATCCTAAGCAAAAAGAACAAAGCTAGAAGCATCATGCTACTGGACTTCAAACTATACTACAGGGCTACAGTAACCAAAACAGCATGGTTCTGGTACAAGAACAGACACATAGACCAATGGAACAGAATAAAGAACCCAGAAATAAGACTGCACATCTACAACTATCTAATCTTCAACAAACCTGACAAAAACAAGCAATGGGGAAAGGACTCCCTATTCAATAAATGGTGCTGGGATAACTAGCTAGCCATATGCAGAAGATTGAAGCTGGCTCCCTTCCTTACACGATATACAAAAATCAACTCAAGATGGATTAAAAAATGTAAATGTAAAACCTAAAGCTAAAAACACTCTGGAAGACAGCCTAGGCAATACTATTCAGGACATAGGCATGGGCAAAGATTTCATGATGAAGACACCAAAAGCAATTCGCAACAACAACAAAAATGGACAAATGGGATCAAGTAAATGAAAGAGCTTCTGTGCAGCAAAAGAAATTATCAACAGAGTAAACAGCTGACAGAATGGGAGAAAATTTTTGCAAACTATGCATCTGACAAAGGTCTAATATTCAGCCTTTATAAGAAACGTAAACAAATTTACAAGAAAAAAATAAACAATCCGATAAAACGTGGGCAGAGGACATGAATAGACACTTTTCAAAAGAGAACCTACATGCAGCCAACAAGCATAGGAAAAGCTCAACATCACTGATCATTAGAGAAATGCAAATCAGTGGTGTGGAGCCAAGATGGCGGAATAGGAACAGCTCCAGTCTACAGCTCCCAGTGTGAGCGACGCAGAAGATGGGTGATTTCTGCATTTCCAACTGAGGTACCGGGTTCATCTCACTGGGGAGTGTCGGACAGTGGACGCAGGACAGCGGGTGCAGCGCACCGAGCATGAGGCAAAGCAGGGCGAGGCATCGCCTCACCCAGGAAGCACAAGGGTTCAGGGGATTCCCTTTCCTAGTTAAAGAAAGGGGTGACAGACGGCACCTGGAAAATCGGGTCACTCCCACCCTAATACTGCACTTTTCCGATGGTCTTAGCAAACGGCACACCAGGAGATTATATCCCGTGCCTTGCTTGGAGGGTCCTATGCCCACAGAGCCTCACTCATTGCTAGCACAGCAGTCTGAGATCAAACTGCAAGGTGGCAGTGAAGCTGGGGGAGGGGCGCCCACCATTGCGGAGGCTTGAGTAGGTAAACAAAGTGGCCGGGAAGCTCAAACTGGGTGGAGCCCACCGCAGCTCAAGGAGGCCTGCCTGCCTCTGTAGACTCCAACTCTGGGGGCAGGGCATAGCCAAACAAAAGGCAGCAGAAACCTCTGAACACTTAAATGTCACTGTCTGACAGCTTTGAAGAGAGTAGTGGTTCCCCTAGCATGCAGCTGGAGATCTGAGAACAGACAGACTGCCTCCTCAAGTGGGTCCCTGACCCCCGAGTAGCCTAACTGGGAGGCACCCACCAGTGGGGCAGACTGACACCTCACACGGCCAGGTACTCCTCTGAGACAAAATTTCCACAGGAAAGATCAGGCAGCAACATTTGCTGTTCACCAATATCCACTGTTCTGCAGCCTCCGCTGCTGATACCCAGGCAAACAGGGTCTGGAGAGGACCTCCAGCAAACTCCAACAGACCTTCATCTGAGGGTCCTGACTGTTAGAAGGAAAACTAACAAACAGAAAGGACATCCACACCAAAACCCCATCTGTACGTCACCATCATCAAAGACCAAAGGTAGATAAAACCACAAAGATGGGGAAAAAACAGAGCAGAAGAACTGGAAACTCTAAAAATCAGAATGCCTCTCCTCCTCCAAAGAAACGTAGCTCCTCACCAGCAACAGAACAAAGCTGGATGGAAGATGATTTTGATGAGTTGAGAGAAGAAGGCTTCAGATGATCAAACGACTCAGAGCTAAAGGAGGAAGTTTGAACCCATGGCAAAGAAGTTAAAAACCTTGAAAAAAATTAGACGAATGGCTAACTAGAATAACCAATGCAGAGAAGTCCTTAAAGGACCTGATGGAGCTGAAAACCACAGCATGAGAACTACGTGACGAATGCACAAGCCTCAGTAGCTGATTCAATCAACTGGAAGAAAGGGTATCAGTGATGGAAGATCAAATGAATGAAATGAAGTGAGAAGAGAAGTTTAGAGAAAAAAGAATAAAAAGAAATGAACAAAGCCTCCAAGAAATATGGGACTATGTGAAAAGACCAAATCTACATCTGATTGGTGTGCCTGAAAGTGACAGGGAGAATGGAACCAAGTTGGAAAACACTCTGCAGGATATTATCCAGGAGAATTTCCCCAATCTAGCAAGGCAGGCCAACATTCAAATTCAGGAAATACAGAGAACACCATAAAGATACTCCTTGAGAAGAGCAACTCCAAGACACATAATTGTCAGATTCACCAAAGTTGAAATGAAGGAAAAAATGTTAAGGGCAGCCAGAGAGAAAGGTTGGGTTACCCACAAAGGAAAGCCTATCAGACTAAGAGCTGATCTCTCAGCAGAAACTCTACAAGCCAGAAGAGAGTGGGGGCCAATATTCAACATTCTTAAAGAAAAGAATTTTCAACCCAGAATTTCATATCCAGCCAAACTAAGCTTCATAAGTGAAGGAGAAATAAAATACTTTACAGACAAGCAAATGCTGAGAGATTTTGTCACCACCAGGCCGGCCCTAAAAGAGCTCCTAAAGGAAGCACTAAACATGGAAAGGAACAACCAGTACCAGTCACTGCAAAAACATGCCAAATTGTAAAGACTGTCGAGGCTAGGAAGAAACTGCATCAACTAACGAGCAAAATAACCAGCTAACATCATGATGACAGGATCAAATTCACACATAACAATATTAACTTTACATGTAAATGGACTAAATGCTCCAATTAAAAGACACAGACTGGCAAATTGGATAAAGAGTCAAGACCCATCAGTGTGCTGTATTCAGGAAACCCATCTCACATGCAGAGACACATATAGGCTCAAAATAAAGGGTTGGAGGAAGATCTACCAAGCAAATAGAAAACAAAAAAAGGCAGGGGTTGCAATCCCAGTCTCTGATAAAACAGACTTTAAACCAACAAAGATCAAAAGAGACAAAGAAGGCCATTACATAATGGTAAAGGGATCAATTCAACAAGAAGAGCTAACTATCCTAAATATATATGCACCCAATACAGGAGCACTCAGATTCATAAAGCAAGTCCTTAGAGACCTACAAAGAGACTTAGACTCCCACACAATAATAATGGGAGACTTTAACACCCTACTGTCAACATTAGACAGATCAACGAGACAGAAAGTTAACAAGGATATCCAGGAAGTGAACTCAGCTCTGCACCAAGCGGACCTAATAGACATCTACAGAACTCTCCACCCCAAATCAACAGAATACACATTTTTTTCAGCACCACACCACACGTATTCCAAAATTGACCACATACTTGGAAGTAAAGCTCTCCTCAGCAAATGTAAAAGAACAGAAATTATAACAAACTGTCTCTCAGACCACAGGTCAATCAAACTAGAACTCAGGATTAAGAATCTCACTCAAAATCGCTTAACTACATGGAAACTGAACAACCTGCTCCTGAATGACTACTGGGTACATAACGAAATGAAGGCAGAAATAAAGATGTTCCTTGAAACCAATGAGAACAAAGACACAACATACCAGAATCTCTGGGACACATTTAAGACAGTATGTAGAAGGAAATTTATAGCACTAAATGCCCACAAGAGAAAGCAGGAAAGATCTAAAATTGACACCCTAACATCACAATTAAAAGAACTAGAGAAGCAAGAGCAAACACATTCAAAAGCTAGCAGAAGGCAAGAAATAGCTAAGATCAGAGCAGAACTGAATGAAATAGAGAAACAAAAAACCCTTGAAAAAATCAATGAATCCAGGAGGTGGTTTTTTGAAAAGATCAACAAAATTGATAGACCGCTAGCAAGACTAATAAAGAAGAAAAGAGAGAAGAATCAAATACACCCAATACAAATGATAAAGGGGATATCACCACCAATCCCACAGAAATACAAACTACCATCAGAGAATACTATACACACCTCTATGCAAATAAACTAGAAAATCTAGAAGAAATGGTAAAATTCCTTGACAAATACACCCTCCCAAGACTAAACCAGAAAGAAGTTGAATCTCTGAATAGACCAATAAGAGGCTCTGAAATTGAGGTAATAATTAATAGCTTACCAACCAAAAAAAGTCCAGGACCAGATGGATTCACAGCCAAATTCTACCAGAGGTACAAGGAGGAGCTGGTACCATTCCTTCTGAAACTATTCCAATCAATAGAAAAAGAGGAAATCCTCCCTAACTCATTTTATGAGGCCAGCATCATCCTGATACCAAAGCCTGGCAGAGACACAACAAAAAAAGGGAATTTTAGACCTATATCCCTGATGAACATCGATGCAAAAATCCTCAGTAAAATACTGGCAAACCGAATAAGCACTTCAAAAAGCTTATCCACCATGATCAAGTGGGCTTCATCCCTGGGATGCAAGGCTGGTTCAGCATACGCAAATCAATAAACGTAATCCAGCATATAAACAGAACCAAAGACAAAAACCACATGATTATCTCAATAGATGCAGAAAAGGCCTTTGACAAAATTCAACAACCCTTCATGCTAAAAACTCTCAATAAATTAGGTATTGATGGGACGTATCTCAAAATAATAAGAACTATCTATGACAAACCCACAGCCAATATCATACTGAATGGGCAAAAACTGGAAGCATTCCCTTGAAAACTGGCACAAGACAGGGATGCCCTCTCTCACCACTCCTATTCAACATAGTGTTGGAAGTTCTGGCCAGGGCATTCAGGCAGGAGAAGGAAATAAAGGGTATTCAAGTAGGAAAAGAGGAAGTCAAATTGTCCCTGTTTGCAGATGACATGATTGTATATCTAGAAAACCCCATCGTCTCAGCCCAAAATCTCCTTAAGCTGATAAGCAATTTCAGCAAAGTCTCAGGATACAAAATCAATGTGCAAAAATCACAAGCATTCTTATATACCAATAACAGATAAACAGAGAGCCAAATCATGACTGAACTCCCATTTACAACTGCTTCAAAGAGAATAAAATACCTAGGAATCCAACTTACAAGGGATGTGAAGGACCTCTTCAAGGAGAACTACAAACCACTGCTCAACGAAATAAAAGAGGATACAAACAAATGGAAGAACATTCCATGCTCATGGGTAGGAAGAATCAATATTGTGAAAATGGCCATACTGCCCAAGGTAATTTATAGATTCAATGCCATCCCCATCAAGCTACCAATGACTTTCTTCATAGAATTGGAAAAAACTACTTTAAAGTTCATATGGAACCAAAAAAGAGCCCGCATCGCCAAGTCAATCCTAAGCCAAAAGAACAAAGCTGGAGGCATCACGCTACCTGACTTCAAACTATACTACAAGGCTACAGTAACCAAAACAGCATGGTACTGGTACCAAAACACAGATATAGACCAATGGAACAGAACAGAGCCCTCAGAAATAATGCTGCATATCTACAACTATCTGATCTTTGACAAACCTGAGAAAAACAAGCAATGGGGAAAGGATTCCCTATTTAATATATGGTGCTGGGAAAACTGGCTAGCCATATGTAGAAAGCTGAAACTGGATCCCTTCCTTACACCTTATACAAAAATTAATTCAAGATGGATTAAAGACTTAAATGTTAGATCTAAAACCATAAAAACCCTAGAAGAAAACCTAGGCAATACCATTCAGGACATAGGCATGGGCAAGGACTTCATGTCTAAAACACCAAAAGCAATGGCAACAAAAGCCAAAATTGACAAATGGGATCTAATTAAACTAAAGAGCTTCTGCACAGCAAAAGAGACTACCATCAGCGTGAACAGGCAACCTACAGAATGGGAGAAAATTTTTGCAATCTACTCATCTGACAAAGGGCTAATATCCAGAATCTACAATGAACTCAAACAAATTTACAAGAAAAAAACAAACAACCCCATCAAAAAGTGGGTGAAGGATACGAACAGACACTTCTCAAAAGAAGACATTTATGCAGCCAAAAGACACATGACAAAATGCTCATCATCACTGGCTGTTAGAGAAATGCAAATCAAAACCACAATGAGATACCATCTCACACCAGTTAGAATGGCTATCATTAAAAAGTCAGGAAACAACAGGTGTTGGAGAGGATGTGGAGAAATAGGAACACTTTTACACTGTTGGTGGGACTGTAAACTAGTTCAACCATTGTGGAAGTCAGTGTGGCGATTCCTTGGGGATCTAGAACTAGAAATACCATTTGACCCAGCCATCCTATTACTGGGTATATACCCAAAGGATTATAAAACATGCTGCTATAAAGACACATGCACACGTATGTTTATTGTGGCACTATTCACAATAGCAAAGACTTGGAACCAACCTAAATGTCCAGCAATGATAGACTGGATTAAGAAAATGTGGCACATATACACCACGGAACACTATGCAGCCATAAAAAAGGATGAGTTCATGTCCTTTGTAGGGACATGGAAGAAGCTGGAAACCATCATTCTGAGCAAACTATCGCAAGGAGAAAAAACCAAACGCCGCAAGTTCTCACTCATAGGTGGGAATTGAACAATGAGAACACATGGACACAGGAAGGGGAACATCACACACTGGAGCCTGTTGTGGGGTGCGGGGACGGGGGAGGAATAGCATTAGGAGATATACCTAATGTTAAATGACTAGTTAATGGGTGCAGCACACCAACATGGCACATGTATACATATGTAACAAACCTGCACGTTGTGCACATGTACCCTAAAACTTACAGTATAATAATAAAAAAAAAGAAATGCAAATCAAAACCACGATGAGATATCATCTCACACCAGGCAGAATGACTATTATTAGAAAGCCAAAAAATAACAGATGCTGGTGAGGTTGTGGAGAAAAAGGGATGCTCATACACTGTTGATGGGAGTATAAATTAGTTCAGGCATTGTGGAAGACAGTGTGGCAACTCCTCAAAGACCTAATGACAGAAATACCATTTGACCTGGCAATCCCATTACTGGGTATATACCCAAAGGAATAGAAATCATTATGTTATAAAGACACATGCACACATATATTCATTGCAGCTCTATTCACAATAGCAAAGATGTGAAATCAATCTAAATGCCCATCAATGATAGACTAGATAAAGAAAATGTGATAAATATACACCATAGAATACTATGCAGCCATGAAAAAGAACAAGATCATGTCCTTTGCAGAGATGGATGGAGCTGGATGCCATTATTCTTAGCAAACTAACATGGAAATAGAAAAACAAATACCACATGTTCTCACTTGTATGTGGTAGCTAAATTATGAGAACATACACACACATAGAGGGGAACAACACACAACACAACAACAACACACACCTTTCAGAGGGTGGAGGGTGAGAGGAGGGGGAGGATCAGGAAAAACTACTAATGGGTATTAGGATTAATACTTGGGTGATGAAATAATCTGTAAAACAAACTTTTGTGACACAAGTTTACCTATATAAGAAATCTGCACGTTACCCCTGAACTTAAAAGTGAAAAAATAACGAACTGCATTCCATTAGAACTAGCCGTGAAATAAAAAGATATTTCCAAGAAAGCTTCAGGAATAGACTTCCCAAGAAATTTTATAAAACCAGAATTGATTTTCACATGTCTGGGATATTTAGATGTAGCCTTGCCTCAAAGAAACCCTTCGAGGTTTTTTCCAGCCGTATGATTCCATGACAGGATGCTGGGGCTACAGTAATCCTTGGTTGATCCAAGAACATAGAGAGCCTAGCATCTGCCTGCCATGTAGAAGCACTGCACAAAGGTCTCATGTATATGATTCATTACATGTGCGTAAATGGAATACGATTGTCTATTTTTAGGCCAACTTGTGGTATCTCCATAATTTTCAGATTTTCCATTATTAAAAAAAAAAAAAGAGAGAGATTCGACCGGGCGCGGTGGCTCACGCCTGTAATCCCAGCACTTTGGGAGGCCGAGGCGGGCGGATCATGAGGTCAGGAGATCGAGACCATCCTGGCTAACACAGTGAAACCTCATCTCTACTAAAAATACAAAACATTAGCCAGGCATGGTGGCGGGCGCCTGTAGTCCCAGCTACTTGGGAGGCCGAGGCAGGAGAATAGCATGAACCCGGGAGGCAGAGTTTGCAGTGAGCCGAGATCGCACCATTGCACTCCAGCCTGGGTGACAGAGTGAGACTCTGTCTCAAAAAAAAAAAAAAAAAAAAAAAAAAAGATTCATCCTTAAGTCATTTAAATAAAATGATGGAAGAATGATTTCTATGTAAGTGATTTAAAAGCACAGGCACTTGATCCAAATCCTTCTGGGATACAAAGCATCCCAAAGTACATAACACAATTTCTTGCCTTATTAAGCTACAGCTTCATTACACAATTTAACCTCTTTTAGATGACTCACAGTCATCATCTATAAAATTTAATTCAACACACATTTGAGGAACATCCACTATTTCAGCACAATACCAGGTTTGCCAGTCTATGTCCATGTCTAACAATAACGCAAGAGATTGTGGTTATGTCAAAGTGAGGTTGAAAGTCAGTGCTGGGAGTACTGGGGCAGGATGGAACTGGGATCCCAGGGAAGGCAGGTAAGCATGAGGACAAAGAGCTCAGCCCGCTGTGGGTTGCAGATCCCATCTTCCTTTGCTAACCTGCGTGACCCTGGCCAGATTGCAGAGTCTTCATTTCAGTATCACTGAGTGAAGATAACAATCATAACACCTCCTGCGTAAGGTAGTCACCAGAATTAACTGATGCAAAACAGTATTTTTAAAAATGTGAGTCATAGGAGGAATTTAATGGAACATGACAATCACTTTAAAAACAAAATGAAATAGAATAGAAAAAAAGTCAAATGGAACAGAAAATATCGGAGGGCATCACGTGTAGTAAATGTAAGTTTGTGGTGTGCGAGTACTTTCGTGGCGTGATTATAACTTATATTTTCTATCGTGGGTCACCATAGGGCAAGTTCAAAAACCATAGGTATAAAGCTTTTGGCACTCGGTGCCTAATGTGTAGCCAGTGATAAAAAGTGGTGAAATAAAAATACAGCATTTAAGTTGAGCTTTAAACAATAAACATTTTTACCAAAGAGGATGGAATGGAAAAGGTAAGAAAAACCCAATACGTGTACACACACACACACACACACATACACACACGTGCACAAATGCAGACACATATGAGACATGGTATTACTTAGATATTGGATGGAAGAAGGTTTTTAGAATATGAAACTAGACAGGAGATGCAGCTGGATTGTGGAAATCTATCTAGGTCATATTGAGAATTTTGAATGTCTTTAGGTAAAAACTGCGAAGTCATCCAATAAATTTGCACTAGGAAATAACATGCTCAGATTCAGAATTGGAAAAAGGAATTGTGACAGGGATGTGGACAACAGACTGGGAGTTGAGCCTGGCAGTGGGAAGGCTTCTGACTTGGTTTTGATTCTCCAGGGGAGGACCTGAAGCAAGGCAATGGCATTGGGTGTGAAAGGAAGGAGATTAAGAAGACATTGCATTGGGAGGCCGAGGCAGGCCGATCACTTGAGGTCAGAAGTTTGAGAGCAGCCTGGCCAACATGGTGAAAACCCCATCTCCACTAAAACCACAGAAATTAGCCTGGTGGGGTGGCGGGTGCCTGTAATCCCAGCTACTCAGGAGGCTGAGGCAGGAGAATCGTTTGAACCTGGGAGGTGGAGGTTGCAGTGAGCCGAGATTGCGCCACTGCACTATAGCCTGGCGACAGAGTGAAACTCCGTCTCAAAACAAACAAACAACAAAAAAGACATTGCAGAGAGCTCTTGTGACATGATGTCACTTTGCTCATTTATTTCCTCTGATCATATTACCCTTTCCTGCCTCTGATTCATCAGGTAAAATTCTTCTCTTCCTGCAAGCCAGGGCTAGCTATGTGTTCCAAGCAACCATCTCTGGCCGTATGTTTGAGTGACACCCAGTCCGCGCTCCTGCACTGTGCTGTGCACATCATTGCTGTGTCCTCTGTCACATCACACAGAAGGGTGACATTGTCTAGTGTTTCCTGCCTTCCCTGGAACTTCTGGGTATGGGTTTGGAGCGTACGTCATGGTCCCTTTGTGGTTAAGACATGGACCAGAATCTTATGACAGATTCTGGCTCGTGATTTGTGCTTGGAGCGTTTACCTGCCTATGTCAGCGCCTCAGAGATTTCTTTCTCTTTGTCATGAAACCTGCCTGGGTCCTTCCTGGAGTGAAGATAGCATGGCATGTACTACCACATACTCACAATGAGCATGATCGTGAAAGAAAAATAAAACCATTGGTTGTTGTATGGTTGTTGTAAATCACTGAGGTTTCAGGCCTGTTTGTGATGCCCCCTAACTCAGCATCTCTTGATTGATGTGATTCAGAACCTGGCTCAGAGCTTGGTGTAAGAGTAGTGCTCTATGTTTATTTGTGGTAAAAATGAATAAATGATTAGGAGAGGAACTATAGGTAGCTTGAAGGCTTCTGGTCAGAAGGCAGCAGATTTTGTTAGATCGTAAGCTAAATCAGAACACAGGAAAAGAGGGAGACACAAGTATAAATGTGTTTGTGGGCACATTGAATGCGAAGTACTGGAGAGGTCTTCCTGAGTACGCAGATGGTGGTAAGCTGGAAATATAGGACTGACGGTTCTCTAAGATTGTCAGGATAGAGATAAAAAATGCGAACTCTTTAATTTCAGATGATAGTTACATTATAAGAACAGATTCAATGATCCACAGAGATAGTGAAGAATATTAAGAGATAAAGGAAGAATATTGGGAAATGCCTACATTTAAGGGTGGGAAGCAGAGGGACAAGAAGCAACAAAGAATAAAAAACATGATAATGGAAGCTAAGAGAAGGAGGATTTTAAAAGCAAATTGCTATCTAGTAGCGTCACTATATGCTACAGTGACATGAAATAGGGAGGGTACTGGGAGGGAGGAACGACGTTTTAATACAGCCAGGAGGTCCGTGTTCCGTGTGAGAGAGGAAGAATGAACACAGCGATGAGTATCATTGTAGATACAGATGAGCACGTTAGATGCTGCTTTCCAGATTCCACGTTATACCACTTTTCCACTCCTTGAGATTCCTGCACATTTCTGGTTCTCGGAAGTCCCCTTTCACTCTCAGCCTGACTATGGCTTTATTTGATGCAGTCTGTGGCTGATTGGGAGGCAAACACACACCTGTTGCCTGGGGTGGGAAGCTGTCTGGACCTGGTGAGTTACTTTGCCTCCCAGAAGACTTGTTTAATTCTAAGTTATGGGCTACAATGTGGAGAGCTTAATTGCCCAGGTCTTCTGGGTAAGAAGAGTAGTGGTGTATTCTCACTGATTAACTCAGCAACATTTATTGAGCACCTACTATGTACAGGAACTGAATAACATTATCATCTGAAGCTGGAATAACCAATGTGAATCACAGCTCAGAGATATTTTATGCCTTCTGATTTTTAGTTTTCATTAATGAGAAGTCTGTGCTTCCTAATTTTACATTTCTAAGCTCCGCAAATGAGATTAGCATTGTGAAACAGACAATGTCTATATCATAATGCTTATTTAATGTGTATATAGTAAAAGCAGTCTGTTTGTGAAAGTTTTTCAGACTGCTTTTATGTAGACGGGAGCGTTGGGGAGGAAATGAAGCTTGGCTGTTTTCTTCCTGGGACCTTAAAAGGGTTATCTCACGTCTTTGGATTTTCATTGCTTATAATAGATTGTTTGATCATTCAAACCACTATATATTAAAATTAATAGCCAGAATCCACAAATTATGTGGATGAGGCTCTGAATCAAATGACTTTTGAGATTTTGCAGTTTGAATCTCTGATTGGGGAGTTTAATATCTCATTGCACTGTTGGACCCCCGAGGGAAAGTTCATGTTCAGTCCACATCATCTTTAGACAACCTGTTTGTAGATTCATTCTCAGTTACCCTAACTTGTCATCTGGCCACATGCAAGTTTCAAATTCTAATGTCTTTTTCTAAGCTAAACTGAGAGAGCACCATGAAATAAATGCCTATCAGCAGACATTATATGTCACATATTAGAGAAAAAAGCTTGTCTATTTTAACAGGGTTCTTTCCCAAGAAGGGGAGATGAATTTGGGATCTTGAGAGAAAATGACATCAGCGAGGAGGTTAGCTGAGGGACTCTTATAAAAGGGACCAAATTACAAGGCATATTGTGTCCTGATTTATCCCCCTATGTTCTACATTTAACTATGAAATCATTTCAAAGAAAAAAAAATTCAGATTTATGAGCAAGGAAAATATCTAGAGCTCATACTGTCCTCTGGTGGTCATTCGCACACATAGCCAGAAATGCAAATGCCTTGGAAAACTTGACAGCATCTAGTTTACCGACTGAAAGTCAAATTGCAGAAACTGATGAAAACAAAACAAAACAAAAAAACACCCTCTTTCCTGTACTTTAAAGTTTCTTGATCATTTCATATTTAAAACAGAATAATGGATACTATTTACAAGTATTCACCTCTGAAGAGAAATAATTGTCTCTGAGCTTGACTCTCACTGATACTATTTGATGTAAAAAATAGGTCTCGTGCTCTTAAATGATGGTTGAGATAGATAGACAGGAAGGTGGATATGGAGAGGGAACTGTTTTTAGTTCACTTCACTTCAATTAAGATGCTCTGGGGTTCTGGGACCTCCTTGTAACACTTTCTAGGTATTATCTCCTGGAAGAACACAGGCACCTGCCCATCATATTTCTATGTCTCTAGTCTTTTTAATATGGTCAAAAGGCAACACAGAGATACCCTGATAAAAATCTCAGCTGTTATTTCCCACCTTTTTCTGGTGGGTTTGCTCTCATTACTGTCTTTTTTTTTTTTTTTTTTTTTTTTTTTTTTTTTGAGACAGAGTCTTGCTCTGTTGCCCAGGCTGGAGTGCAGTGGTGACATTTTGGCTCACGGCAACCTCCACCTCCCAGGTTCAAGAGTTTCTCCTGCCTCAGCTCCTCCCAAGTACCTGAGATTACAGGCATGTACCACCACACCTGGCTAATTTTTGTATTTTTTGTAGAGGCGGAGTTTCATACGTTGGCCAGGCTGGTCTCAAACTCCTGGCCTCAAGTGATCCTCCTGCCTTGGCTTCCCAAAGTGCTGGGATTACAGGCGTGAACCACCGTGCCTTGCTGGCCCTCATTACTGTCCCTTTTGAGAGTGTGTTGTTAAGATCCTGGGCAGGTCAAATCCCATTGTTCTGTGGGTGAAGAGACAGGAGAAATCCTGGGGAAATGCGTTTCTACCCCATCTAACAACACCTGTGTGACTTTGTTTTCAGGATAGGATGTTTTTTCTTCCTTTTCTATTGTATGTAATTCTTAGGCCAGGAGGACAGAGCCAAATACAGCCTGTATCATCCACAAATAGGGGCTTTCTCAGTAAGCATCAGTCACTAAGGACTCATTTCAAGTAAGCCAGGTAGGGATTTTTAGTGCAGAGATAAAGATAAGATGATTGAGAAGACAAAACGAGAGGAAGCTGCTGGTCTTTCTATACCCTGCTAGGTGCTTTCTAGCCTGTTAGAGTCAAAAGAGCAACCGTGAATCCCATAGCAAAGAGATCAATGAATGAATGAGTGAATACTAATACAGATGCAATTCAAGTTCTAGTGGAAAATGAGTATACTTTATTTCAGCAATAATTTTTGTCTCTCTTTGGTGAATACGGGACATGTCAGTGATAAGCAGAAAAGCAGAAGCCACCCTGGGCATTGAGGGCACAATGGCTCAGCTTTTTTTCAGTGTCTACGCTGCTCTCCATCTCTGGGCTTTGATAGTAGGATTCAGTAAGTGAGGATTAACAGCATATTGAAAACCACATAAGAAGCCCAGAAAAATGTTGTGGAGTCTAACTCTGACTATTTACGTTTACATATTGACTTCAAGGGCAGAGTACTGCCATGAATGCATAAGCAGTAGAGAACACACCTTGCTTTTTCAGCAACAGACGGAACTTCATGGGCCAAGCAAGCCCACACACTCTCACACACTCACTGTTGGGGTACACCAGGCCTCAGGGGCACCTGTGGACTCTGAGCTTGGGCAAACATATCACCTTGATTAAAAGATTAATCCATAAATTTGTTTGGGAATATTTTTCAGCCCTAACAAGGAAGGAGATTCCATCGCATGCTACAACATGGATGAACCTTGAGGATATCATGTCAAGTGAAACGAGCTGGTCACTAAATGACAAATGCTATATCATTCCACATGCATGAGGTCCCTAGAGGAGTCAAATCCAGAGACAGAAAGTAGAATGGTGGGTGCCATGGGCTGGTGGGAGGGAGGATAGGGAATTCGTGTTTAATGGGGACAGAGTTTCGGTTTTGTAGAGTTCTGGAGATGGATGGTGGTGATGGCTTCACAACAACGTGAAGGTATGTAATACTGATGAACTCAATAATCAAAGTGGTCAAGAGGGTAAGTTTTACGTTATGTGTATTTTACCAGAAAGGAAACAAAACCAGTGTGTATATTCACTCAACAAACGCTTAGTGAATGACTACATGTGTCAAGTTCTATGCTGGGAGCTGGAGATACAAAGATGGAAGAGACATGGCACCTGCTGCAGAAAATGTCATAATGTTTCCATGAAGACATCGTCAATTTTGGTGGGTCATTTTAATGTTTTCTTTTCTTTAAAATTTCCCTTTTTGATATGTTTTGGTGTGGTCTCAGAAGCAGTCTAACTTTATAATGATTATTCAGCAGGAATAATATGAACGATAACAAAAACCACACTTTGAAATAGTAAATAACTTTTAGTTCCTTCACAATGAACCAGGCTGACTGCTGTAACTGTAAGGGTAATAGATCTTCATTAAAGTCCCTCATTTCTAGCACAATAGGGTTTTGCCTGCTATTCTTTTCCCTGTGAGAGATGGAGGAGGGAAAGAAGGGAGGGATAGGGTGGGAGGGAAGGAAGGAGGGAGGGAAGGAGGGAGGGAGGGAGAAGGGAGGGAGGGAAGGCGTGAAGTGCTTATCATGATGAGTCCAACAGTAAAATCAATAGGTGTTGTCCACTGACTATCAATTAAGGCACAATCAAGGCCTCTGGGTTTTGATTTTGATCAGGCTGCTGGCAGTTTAGTGGGAACTCACCAAATAAACAATAATTCCAGACAATTGTCCCCCTTGTCATGATTCAGGAGCGTATTTTCAAATGAGGTGTAAATGAGGACTTTGTTTTGTATGTGGAGACAGCAGGGGCAAAACAAAACCACTGGAAAGACCCAGGTAGGTGGGAAACAAAGGAACGAAACTGTCCAGTGCGAGCACCTGCAGCTCGTCCCTGGCAGACGCTTGAAAGGCACTTGGTTATTTACCAACTTACTGTGGGATAGGGGTGGGAGCAGAATACAGTGTACTTTCGGATGATGCCGTTCAGCTTGAGAGGGGGAAGCCAGGACACAAAGACCATGGAGGCTGAGGCCGCCGCTGCCTTCACACCCGCGGGAGGACCTGGAACTGGAAGAGCCGTGTGTTTAGTCACAAGGTGGGGCCTCAACTTGGGCTTGCGGACCCACGCTTCCCAACATGACCCCACTCCGCACTTACTGTTCAGCTCTTTCAGGATGAGCGTTATGGGTTCCGCTGTGTCCCCCCAAATGCATATGTTGAAGTCCTAACCCCCAGGACCACAGAATGACACTGTAATTGGAGGTAGGGTCTTTACAGAGGTAATCAAGTTAAAATGAGTTTGTTAGGGTGGTCCCTAATCCAGTACTTCTGGTGTCCTTATAAAAAGGGCCAGTTTGGACACAGAGACAGACATGTATAGAGGGAAGATGATGTGAAGACACAGGGAGAAGAGGGCGTCTATAAGCCAAGGAGAGAAGCCCAGGACAGATGCTTGTCTCAAAGCTCTTAGAGAGAACCAGCCCTGCAGACACCTTGATTTTGGACTTCTGGCCTCCAGAACTCAGAGACAGCAAATAAATTCCTAATGTTGGAGTCTGTGGTCCTTTGTAGCTCTAGGACCTAATACAGTCAGTTCTAGTCCCTCTTGTCCTGGGGAGTCTTCCCAACCCATTTCAGCCCCTGGCAACTTCCTGCCTCTGGATAACTGGAGAATTAACTTCTGGATCAGTCTCATTTCTGCTGCAGTTTTTGGCTTTGAATGTACTGGGGATGAACCTTTTGGATCCTGAATTTGAGAAGCATGAGGGTGAACTACCTCAGCCATCAGAGACCCCACCCTCCCTCACCCTAGTCATTTTGTAATGGCACCACTTTGGGCTCAGGAGAGGTATGGAAATATTGTTGATGAATAGGGATTATTGGGTCAAAGATTCACAGTATCCATGTAAGACAAACTCTCCTCTGTAAACCAGCTAAGAAGGCAGAACATGGTGGCAGCAATACTAAGCATGATTTGGGAGTGAGATTGAAGGCATGTCCCACTCCTCTTGTTCTTTTATTTTCCAGGTTGAAGAGGTGAGGGCGGGTGAGATGGCCAAGACAAGAAGATGCCAAAATGTCAAAGGTGCCAGTGAGGAAGGCATCAGAGCTCTTGCTTTGTTTCTCATTAACCTCACTGTCCATATGGAGGGCAACCACATTGATGGAGACATTGAAATTCAAACCAATAGAAGTCCCTTGCAAGCCCCTGGAGAAATCTGTGAGTCTTTTACTGCTTTGATGGCAATGCAACTGCTCAGTAAATTGTTTTGGAGTTGAATGTGCTTCTCATAATCGTCACCTTGACTCTTCTAAGTCTGCATAACAAAACCAAGAGCTCTGGTGAGAACTAACTTGGGTTGGACATAGTCACCATTTGAAAATATAAAATCTTGGTAATCCATTTTTGGCAAGTCTTGCTAACAGTGGAAGGTCTAGAAAAGGTAACACACATAAATGATAGATCCTGGGTTAAAAAATCCCTTGAGAACAAACCTCTATCAGGTGAGGGTAATGTCTAAGACATCCACAACCTAGTTCAGAGCTGCCAGGGTTCCTCCTGAACAACAAGGGCAGAGTGAACGTTTCCTGGGGATTTTAATCCTAGTAGACACCCCAGCTTAGCCAACACTCTCAGTCCTTTCCATAAAGCCCCTGGTTGGTGTTCACCACAGTGAACATTCTTGCTGGACAGCTTCTCTTTAGGAGGCCAAGTAGTTTAGCACCAACCAGTTGAATGGCTGCTGAAGAGGAGTCAGTTGTATTTGTTTCCAACCTGTTTGTGACAATTGTACGTGTCATGGGTAGTACTGTAAGTTAATTAATTACGTAAACCAATGAAATTCAAGTGCAAGAGAAAGCTGTTTCTATGACAGTTAATGGGACTACTTTGGAAAGCCTTCCTTAGAGGTAAGTTAGAAAAGAAATTAAAAAGAGAAAGAAATGAAGGAGGGAAGAACAAAAGGAATGAAGGAGGGAAGGAAGGAAGAAAGGAAAGAGGGAAGAAAAAAGAAAGGAAGGAAGGAAGGAGGGAAGGAAGAAGGGAAGACAAAAGGAAAGAAGGATAAAAAAGAAAAGAAAGAAGAAAAGAAGGAAAGAAGAAAGGAAAGAAAGAAGAAGGCCGATCTATGTTTGGTCAGGACCACTGAGAAGAATGGGACATGTGGATTTGTCCCAATTTGCAAACAGATCGTTGGTAAATGGTCACATGCTCTTACTTGAGACACCAGTTGAAAAATGCAGATGCTACACATTAAATGCAGTTCATGGAGTAAAAGATGGCACAGAGCTCCAATCTTTTCACCCAAAACTTCAAGAAGTGATCCTAAGTCATGTGATTAGAGAATGATTAGGGAATAAATACATATTTATATGTTTTAAGTTAAAATGCAACATTTCAGGTACTTCCTGGCCACTGCAAAGTTTGGTGATTCCTTGTTTTAAGTGATGATTTCCGTGAGCATGCCTGTGTCACAGCCGATCAAGGGACTTTTACTGCACCATCTAAACTCGCAGTTGGCTCCTCCTGCATGGATTTATGATCTATCTTACACAGTCTTTCCTTGTATGGTTACTAGAACTTTGTACAATAAAATAACAACATAGATAAGTTGAAGAACACGGCATTTTGGAAGGTTTTCTGGATGACTGAGCTAATCTTTTCAGAGCTAGAACTTAACATTTTAGTTCTGGTTTGGACAACATCATAAAGCTTAAAGGTGTGGGCCCTGGAGCCTCACTGCTGGTTTCATGCGGCTCTAGCACTTAGTTCCACGTCCTGGACAAGCTGATTAACTTCTCTAATAATCTTTAGTTCCCTCATTTATAAATCTACAATAATAACTGTGCTGGCTTATGTTTTTACTGTTAGAATTATAAGAGATAATTCATGTAAATCATTTATTTATTGTTCTCTGTACAGTAAGCACCAAATAAGTTCTAGCTATCATCTCTAATAACCATCCTTATGTCCTTGGATTATATGTCACTAAATGATACTAGCCTTTACTTTGTGACTCAGTGGTGAATGACAAACACCAGACACTGAGAGTTGCAGAAGACAGAGATGGCATAGGATGGAGTAAAAAACGGTATATGTCTGTCTGGGACATATTTTCTTGAAACATTCTTAGTGACCACATTCCATTTTGGTAATCTGAGTTTTTCTTATGAAGGTCAAAACAAACTTGGGAAGTTTTCATGAATTCCTGGGCATCATAGAGAGGAGTTCTGCATTTAAGTTTAATTGATTGCAGTAAAGAATGTGGCCTTCAGAGAATCCTCTCTTCTACATTCCTCCAATGCACCTGGACATCCCTTCTGAGCTGCAGATGCTTCTGTGTCTCATGTGTCCAATTGGCTGAGATGTTTCACACGGGCACCTTAGACCGACATAGTCACAACAGCACTCACCATCTTCTATCCAAACCTGTGCTTCTCTTGCCCCATCTCAGGAAATGGCCCCATCATCTTCTCAGTTGCAAGAACCAGGACCTGGAATTCTCTTCCTGCTGTCACTTGATGGGCCCTTTGGAGGTCCACATGGACAGGACAGGTCAGCAGTTGGGCTCTCCCCCTGATCTGATGGTGCTCCCCAACACTGGGCTCTGTTTCAGTTCCCTGAACGTGGTTTGCTTCTCCCACCCCGGGCCCTTGGGATGCCATGATCCAGGGCCTTGGGATGCCTCTGTCTGGAGTTTTTCCCACCCTCTGCCTTCTTCCTGGCAACTCTTACTCATCTCTCAGGTTCTAGCACACGTCATTTCCTCCAGGAAGTCTTCCCTGATCACCAGCTTAGGTCAGGTCAGGGCTCCCATGTCTCTGTTGAGACTCTTCTTCATCATTGCACTTGACACAGTCCACTCAGGGGTGATCTATCAACGTCTGTCTCCCCCACTAGCTTGCAAACCCCACCATGCCCATCCTGTTTCTCTGCATCTTTAGTTCCTGGGCCAGTATCTGGAACATACTAGATCCTCAATACAGATTTTCCAAGAGTGGAAAAATGATTTCATTCGTGTCTGTGTGGTAGGCAGGATTCTACAATGGGTCCCCAAGATCCTTACCTTCTAGTGTATGTGCCTGGGTGATTCCTTCCCCTTGAATGGGTGTGGCATCTGTTACTATGATGGACAGATTCCTCCCATGGGCAGGTTGTGCCATGTGGCAAAGGTGAAGGGCTTGTTCAGGTATCATTGAGGTTCTAATCACTTGACTTTCAGTTAATGAAAAGGAAAGTTTCCTGGGTGGGCTGGGTTTAATCAGATGCGCCCCTTAGAAGAGGAGATGGAGGTCAGAGACAAAAGAGGTCAGAGGGATTGGAAGCCATGTGAGACTTTCCTATTGGTCCTGAAGAAGGAAGCTACCATGCTGTAGGGGGTGTGACAGGGAGTAACAGGCAGCCTCTGGAAGCTGGTGACTCCAGCCTCATAACCAAACAAAAAAAAAAAAAAAAAAAAGATCCCATATCCTGTGAGCCTGGGAGACCTTGACCTCAGATGAGGGCACAGGCCCAGCTCACACCGTGATTCATCTGTCGGACCCTCAGCAGGGGACTCAGCTCAACCAGACCTGGATGCCTGACCCTTAGAAACGATGAGATAAGACATTTGTATTGTTTTAACGTGTTAAGGTTGTAGCAATCTGTTCCACAGCATAGAAAATAAATACAAGTGGGTAAGCCCTCCTGTAACATACCTTAATGTAAAAATACCACAATCATTTTTCTGAAACAGTATTGCCTTGTTTTGAAGTATGAATATCGGACAAAAGTCTGACTAAACACCCACACAGACACCGCAGTCAGCTTCATTTTTTTTCACCATCATTTTTCTGGTCTTAGTAAACAGCCACAGGCAGGTGTGTGTGTGACTTGTGCATGCACAAACATGCATGTACATATGTGGTACACCATGGTAGCCAGATCCTTCTGAACCCACAACTTTTCAGTGGCTTTTCCTGAGCCATGCCTTGCCGTGCAGATGCTACGATCCTGGAGGGACATGTCACATTCACAGCTGTCATCCCACCAAGCATGCACATATGTCCCTTTTCTCTTCCCATGTCCATAAGACTCTAGTATTTTTGGCCTTTCCTCTCACTAGAGCAAGAGTGTTCATTCTTTAAATGTTTGACTGATCCTTTAACCAAATCATCATGTGGAAACCCAGCACATAACACAAGTGGAAGTGGGGTGGCTCTTGAAGCTGGGGTCAGGGAGAGAATGGAGTCTCCCACTGGGCCTCTTGCTTACCACTGGGCACTGCTGAGGCCCACCTAGTTTGAGGTAAGAACCTAGTTTGGGATCCACTGCAGTGGAGGGAGTGTGGAAAGCCACATGGTAGAATCTCTTCTAGGACATCTTGTCTGTCGTGTTGCTGGTATACCTGCCACTGCACATGGCACACTACCATAGGCTATAGAGCACTGGAATCTTGAGCAGTGTGGATTGGCAGTACTTCCCAGTGTCTACTGAGGGGCAGCACCACTGGTGGCTATGCAAACATAGCATGCAATCTACCCCCTTTCAGGTCTACTGAGGTGTGGTCACATAGTCACCCCAGCACACGTCACAGGCACACACTATCCACACCTTCACAAGTATGTATGGCTCAAAGTATGGGTGGTCAGAAGATTCAGAGGTATCCAGATGTCAGCTTATTTTTTTGCTTCCTCTTAGCTCTACTTTCAGATCTCCTCCCAATGAGATTGCTAATTGATGGTGGGGAGGGAGTAGAGATCACATATTACACCTGCTGCTGGCCCTCTCACATGTACCTTCAGAGTTAGGTGCATTAGTGATGTGTTCAGTAAATATTTGAACTTAACTATCTCTATTGATACATATGCAAAGTTTACTCTTGTGTAAAGGGATCAAGGCTGAAACTAGCTTTTGCCTTCAGAGTGAAAACAGCAATTGGAAGATTAATAGATTGCATTTTGTTTGTGTTCTCTTTCCTTACGGCTTGACTCGTATTATAGTATTGGCAAATAAAATGGCATCAGGATTTCACAACTGTTTTTAGAAGTCAGGTTTAGTTGCTGTTGTGCTCAAAAACAGAAAAGCCAGATCACCAAGTCGTCCTTCGTGTTTCTGCAGCAATAATGGGGTACAAGTTCTCACTGATAGAGCAGTCCTGGAAAGAGAACGTGAACTGTGAGCAGTAGTCACAGACCCCAAAAAATATGTCCATGCACCTGAGTCTATATTTATGGATAAAAGATGATATCCATGGCCCTGAGACTCTGACTACAGGCATGAGAATATGTCCATGTACCTGAGACTCTATTTACGGATGAGAGATGATATCCATGGCCCTGAGGCTCCGACCACAGACATGAGAATATGTCCATGCACCGGAGACTATAGTTATGGATAAGAGACTATGTCCATGGCCCTGAGATTATGACCACAGACATGAGAATGTGTCCATGGAACTGTGAATATGACTATGAGCCCAAGAATCTTTAGATAGTGGTAGAGAAACTACCTGTAGAGAACAAGCACAGACTTGTCCTCTAAACAAATATTTCTATTGCAAATAATCCCTTGCAAAAGTACAATTTTGCCTTTATTAGGGTTAAGTTTCTCTTTTTAGTATGACCAGTGACCTAATAACACAGTTTAAGCCTCCAGGCTCCCTAGATTAGGAAGACTGGTACAGGACGTGTGTCTGGCATAGACAACTGAATCGGATGCTCGCTGTTAATGTAGCTATCTTTCTTCGCTTGCAAGAACGTTGATAAACGCTGAAACTTCAACCTGAGCCTAAAATAGTATCTTATTGAGAAAGAACTGAGCAAATGTTGGTAATTATTATTTTACTGGAAATCTATCTGTATTTTTACACAATTTAATTGAAATTGTAAGTGTAATCCAAACTTCAAAATTACAAAGCTTTCTCATTGAAGTATAAATACGATCTGTAATCAATTTGACTGGGCATTTGTTCTCTGAATTGTCCTTTGTCCCTTCTTCCAATCAGATAAATAAAATAGCATTTAATTTTGTAAACTGCTGAAATGCCTAATTATATTAGGTATTGAGTCTACAAAAGTGGTTGACACAATTCTTCACCGTTTCTAAATTATTGAATTTTTCATGTGAACCTGGGAGATGAAGTGATATTATTCTAGTTCTTCTCTTCTTCCACCCAATCTTCACTCCACCTCTTTTTTCTTTTTGAGACAGAGTCTCGATCCGTCACCCAGGCTGGAGTGCAGTTGCACGATCTCAGCTCACTGCAGCCTCTGCCACCTGGGTTCAAGTGATTCTCCTGCCTCAGCCTCCCGAGTAGCTGGGATTAGAGGTGCCCACCACCACACCTGGCTAATTTTGCATTTTTAGTAGAGACAGGGTTTCACCATGTTGGCCAGGCTGGTCTCGAACTCCTGGCCTCAAGCGATCCACCACTCCACTTCTTTTTGAAAATGCAGACTTATCCTAAAGAAATATTGACACTCAGTTCTGCATAGTCCTTGTCCCATACCACCAGCAAAAGTGGGATTCATGGCATCTTCCTTGGGGTAACTGGGGTACCCAAGGCAGGGTTTTCGATAGTCAATCCCAGCTCCATACACTATCAGCACTGGAGACAAAAGCAAAGCATAATTGATTGACAAATTAGACCTTGGGCCTTGGGGTCAAGTTTTGAGACAGAACTCCATGATTCTTAAAACTCCAATATTAATTAAAAATTGATCTAAAATTGTGAGTTAATAAGGATCTGTGAAGAGCCTTCCCTTCTTATTGGATTTCTGTACATTCTTCCAAAAATGCAGATGCAAAACATTTTGTGGATGATCAATTTGCTCTTTAAATAATAATTCCAGTGACATTTGCATTATTGCCTAGCAATGTAAAAAGGAGTATTTCACCCCTACTCTGAAGGAGTGGAGAGCAAATAATCAAATATTGAGGGTCAGGAAGCATCCCACTCTGTGGCAAGCAGGTGTTTTCAGACACCACTTCAGCTCTCATACACTGGTTCTGTGCAGTCTGATGGCTACAGCAGATTGTCCCTGAGGACAATCCAGTTCAGAGACACTTAGGTAAGGTGCCCAAAGACCCACGGGCAGCAGGTGACAGAGCCAGCATTTGCACAGCTGTTTGTCTGTTACATTTTTAAAAAATTAAATTATGGCTGCCTTCACTCAGGACTTAGCTTTCTAGATATCTCTATTGATGTGTGACTTCCTAATGGCATTACATTTGAACCTTAGATTCCCTAAATAATCCAATTTCTTAGAGCAGAACTGGCTGACACCTGCACATTCCCTGGAAGGACTACCTGTGCATTTTAGAAAAAAACTAAAGCAAATGAGGATTAGTTTGGGTGTAGACATTACAATGTGAGAAGGGCTACAGAGGCAGCAAAAACACCAGGTGAGAGTGGATGCCTGGGGCTGCTCGGAGGAGCAAGGCCTGGCTTGCCAAGGTGAGAGCAGAGAGTGACGTGGAAGATGGCAGGCTCAGAATAACAGGGAGTCATTGTCAGGGGCAGAAAGGCTGAAGAGAAGAGCGTATCATGGCCCCTGAGCAGGTGTTCTTTGCTTCCATCAGAGCAGATATGGGATGGAATAACAGCATTTTTGATACTCTAGTAGTGGGGGAGATAGCATAGACATCAAACCTGCCCATACACAGGAGGTGACCAGCAATGGCCAACAGCTTTCCCGCCCCTGTACTGCTTGGGGAACAGAGTCCCGGCAAGAAGACAAAAGTTGCAGAGACAATCCAGCACAGCATTTAGATCTGCTAATGTCTCATCTCAATGTATACTTCTGTGCTGGAATATTTTGGGAAGGTTCTATGTGGGCATCAATTTGACATCAGTTGCTCCTTCCTTTATTAAGGTGGAGGCTACTTTTCTCACTACCACGGTAGTATTTATCAGAACTTATCTGTTCCTTAAACAGGCTTGGCCAAGGCCCCTCAGAGTTTCCCTTAAAATAATACAGAACCTTTGTTGTATGGTTTTTGTACGTTTGGGTAATAGTCACAACCCAATCCAAATTGTAAGGAACAGCAAGAATTATTGTTGTAGAACAAAATGAGCAGCAATTTAAATTTTTACTAAATCACCATGAATTCTTGCAAGAATTAAAAAAAATTAACATGAAGTTCTCAAATTAAGGACTTATTCTAAAGTGATTCAGCTGGCAAAGAATAATAGAACTTCAGTCTGTACATAATTTTCAAGAAGTGGAAGGATGGATTTAATCAGAGTTTACACTAATAGCTGAATAGCTACTAAAATTATTCTAACAAGATACAAAACATGTATGACAAGTATTACAGCTCTAGGATAAAATGAGTTTCTATTTACAATAATACTTGGCCAAAAAAACCAAAAAACAAAAAAAAGAAAAGAAAGAAGAAAAAATATAGAGGAAGAAGAAGCAATGGATTAGACACATCAAGCAAAGGCAAGAGAGGAAGTTAATGGTCTGAATTGCACTGGGATATTTTGGGAGGGCAGCAAAGGTTTGCACTGAGAATAGCCTGATGAACTGCAGGGTAAAGGCAAGTGAGCTCTCTGTGACCCAGCCCTTCCAGCAACTGCTGGGACCCACCGCCCACCCGTCTCTCACCATCCTCTTTGGTCCGGGTGAAGATCTGCTCACTCCTGACCCCGTCTCCTGCGCGGGTGAAGGCCAGCACCTGGATGCTGTAGTTGGTGTACTTTTCCAGCCCGTCCAGCTCCAGTGAAGGCTGTGTGGTGGTGATGTTTTTAATCTCACCCAGCTCTGGAGGACAAGAACAAGAAAACAAAATCCCACTTCTGAGCCCATTTCTGCTCGTTTTTCCGCACTGTCCCCACTGACTGTCCCTGTGCCATGCCATCACCCGTCCAGCCATCATCTGGACGCGAGAATTCTCAAAGGGACTGTGCACAGTCATCCTGTGAGCTCATGGTGTCACGTGGCCCTTTGGAAAAGAACATTCACACCAAACTGCTCCAGAACACAAGGCAGAACGTTGGTCTGGAAAACGAAGTAATTCGCTCCAAGTTAAGTGTTATCAACCCAAGGCCAGCACCAGGGCTGTCACTCACCCTTCAGCAGGTGCTAATGAGCAATGTCCCCTGCACCCCTAGCAGCACACTTAGGGCGGCACACACACGCTGCACACTTGGCAGCCCCACTGCCGACTATTCATTAGGAAGCTTCTGCAAGCTGAGGGGTTTTATTGTTATTTTAAACAAGCTCTACTTTAACATACATGTATTTTTAAGTACCTAACTTCATCCCAAATATCTGATCTACCCTCTTCAGCAAGTTTCAAGTCTATAAGACAGTGTCTTTAACTATAGTCACCACTTTGTACATTAGATCTCCAGAACTTATTCATCTTGCATAACTGAAACTTTGTATCATTTGGGGGTGGAGGAAGAAAATGGCAACTATGTGAGATGGTGGACCTGCTGTTAATTTGCTTGATTGTGGCGAGCATTTCACATTGGATACATACATCAAAACAAGCTGCATGTCTGAAATATATGCAATTTTTATTTGTCAATTATACCTTAATAAAGCTGAAAAGATAACATATTTAAATAAGAAAAAAATACACCTGAGCTAAACTGAGTGGCTCAGCCAACCCCTCTTTTTACCTGGAGTGAACTCCTCTCAGCTTCAATCCTGAAGTGACATGCCCATGTGTCAGAAACTTGGTGTCAGCTAAAAATGCTTCACTTTCAGGAGTGGGATCAACTAATAACATTCACAGATGGAACACTATGCGCTCTCAACTCCAGCATATGATACACGGCAATTTGAGAAAACTTACGAATGTTGTGCTAAGTACTTCCTTGGTGTTTGGCTGATGGGTTTTGAAATGAGTCGCCTTCAGAGCATGAGAAGGGCCTGAGAACTGTTCCCCTAGGGGAAGGGGCTGTCAGCGACACATTGGCACCCAGAGCAGGCCGGTTACCCCAAGAGACCAGCAGGTCTGGGGAGTTCCTTGTTGAACAGCTCTGATTTGGCAGACCTGCTCGTCAACTGACAATCCAGCTGCTTGTCAATCCCTCTCACTCTCCCTGGCCTCCATATAGGGAGTGGATGTGATATGCATGCCTGCCTAGGTGCCAGCGCTATGCTATTCTAAGTACAGATAGTAACTTATACAACCAGCAGAGTTATTCAATTACTTTTTCAACCCATTCATTTTACAGACAAGGAAGTCGAGGGACAGAGAGGATCAAGGAGCCCAGCACAGTGGCTGAGGGCACAGGCCGCGGATCTCAGCTGCTCTCCTCAGTCGCTCTGGGAAAAAGCAGAAAATGGGCTGAAAATGGAGGCACCCACGAGCCGTCGTGTCGGCCAGATTAAACGGGCTTTTGCTTTTTGCCTGTCTTGGTTTTCCTTCCTGCTCATTGTTTTTCTTTTCTCTTGTGTGTCCAGGATATTGCACAGAAGTTCACAAATGAATAGCCACGTATTTTGTGTGTCCAGGATATTGCATGGAGGTTCACAAATGAATAGCCATGTATTTTGTGATTACGATGACTGTGGAACATCTTTTGTTCATCTTTTTTTTGTCACCAAAAAGATCAATGTGGAACGGATACAGCATTAAAGGAGCATGGCAAATACTGCATGGGATGGCTGAGGCCTGTCCCTCACATGCCAGAGAGCCCCTGTGCCTTCTAGGAGTTGCAAGAAGAGGGGTAAAGGGGCTCCATGTGGCTCCCACAGTCCAGGCCCCAGTGGGAGCCAAAGGCCTGGGAGCACCAGAAGCAGACAGTTCTGTAGGCTGGGGCTTTGCTGGGGAGGGAGCAGGGCGAGGATGGCCCAAAGACAGGCCTTTGGACTCCTGTCTTCTAGGGAGGCCAGCAGGGTGCCAGCTGTTAAAGGTCACAATTTGGAAATCTCAACGGAGGGCTTACGAAAATGAGGAGACTGTGTGAGCATGTGTGGTCACCAGGTAGTCAAAATATCAATACTTGGTTGTCCCAGATGGATTGGAAATTCTCATCTCTGAAGGACGGGTCTTTCCATATTCAATTATATTCCTTTTCCTGATTATATTTAACATAAGTCTTTTGGATTAGGATAAAAACCCAAATGTAACCAGACATGATGGCTCATGCCTGTGGTCCCAGCCTCCCAAGTAGCTCAAGGTGAGAGGATCGGTGGAGCCCAGGAACTGGAGGCTGCAGTGAGCTGTGATTGTGCCACTGCACTCCAGCCTGAAGGATAGAGCCAGACCCTGTCTTTAAACAAACTAATTAAAAACTCATATGCTAATGGACAAACTTTAAATATAGAACTCATTAAGATCTTTTCAGATTTAGAAACTTCACTGTCAAAGATCACACACGTACATCCCTACAGATATATACACACGCAATCAATAAAAATACAGCTGAGGGGAGGGGCTGATCAGGGCAGGGTGCTGGTAGCTGGTTATGAGACTCTGATGAAGGTCTTTTTTTCCCAAGAGTGCAGGGTGTCCACCTCACAGAAAAAGTAGGATCATTTCACAATATAGGAGAAAGCTGTGACCCTCCGGCAAATACTTGAATCAGAATGCAACTCTTGAATCAGACAGAATGAGGAAGAGGAGCCTGGTGGGGAGGGAGAAGGACAACCTGGCCTCTCTGATCTTCTTAAAGAAAGCAAACACTTGGCCCGGTGCAGTGGCTCATGCCTGTAATCCCAGCACTTCGGGAGGCCAAGGCGGGTGGATCACGAGGTCAAGACATCGAGACCATCCTGGCTAACACGGTGAAACCCCATCTCTACTAAAAATACAAAAAATTAGCCTGGCGTGGTGGTGGGCACCTGTAGTCCCAGGTACTCGGGGAGGCTGAGGCAAGAGAAAGGCGTGAACCTGGGAGGTGGAGCTTGCAGTGAGTCGAGATCGCACCACTGCACTCCAGCCTGGGCGACAGAGCGAGACTCTGTCTCAAGGAAAAAAAAAAAAAAAAAAAAGCAAACACTTAAAACAAAATGATTAAAAATGCTAATGGTTAATATACTAATTAGAATTAACATTGGGGGGGGTTCAAGTTATTTTGATTAACTAATTTATGAAGACAAAGGCAGTCAAAATCCCAATTTTAAGATTTCTAAAACTACCTGAGCCACAGTTGGCTCTATCTGCTAGAACGCCTCATAGGCTGTGAAGGAAGGCTATTTTCCTGATGACAGATACTAGGTGACTAGCAGATATGGAAGAAATAAAAAGCAAAGAATGAAAAAGAAGAAAGCCAGATACAAAACTGAGTGTTTAGTTTGCCATTCTTTTTAACGCTTTTTCTTTTTAAACATGAGTTTCTACAGTCTAGCTTTCATGCCTCTGTAGGGCTGTTTAATACACACACACACACATACACACACACACACACACACACACACACACATTAACTGAAGTGTATTGTTCAGTTGAGGTCATGAGTGAAATAAAATTAAAAAAATATATAAAATAAATTTAGAAATCAGATTTTTTCTATTAAAAATTTTGTTTTAAACAAAACAGTTTTGTGTATTTATATCTTGCCTCATCCTCAGAGGGTTTTAAGGCAGAAAACAATAGGTGCGGGAATAGCTTCTGAAGCAAGCCTCAGCTGCCCACACACTCCAGTTGGCACCTAATTGTTGCTTCCTTTCAGAATGTACCATTTTTTCCATGAAGAAAGATGGATGAGATGGAAGTTAGCAAAAATTCAGAGGAAAATGGTAACTTTTCAAAGGATACAACTTTCCTAGCAATCTCAAATAAATTGTTTCTTTCAGGCCTTAACCATGATTTAACTTTCTGACCATGAAAAAAAAATCAGAAAATTCATCAAAATATTGTTTATTTAACCTTCCCTATCAAATATACTAACCAGTTTTATTTCATCTGACCACATTAACAACAGAATTCTTTCTTAGACGTATTTTGGAAAGTATTCGGGCTATTGCTAATTACAGTGGTAGTAACAATATTTGCCCCTCTCAGCCTGTGTGAATGTGTGGGGGGTGTGTGTGGTGTTTGTGGTATGCGATGTGCATGGTGTGTGTGTACCTGTGTGCGTGGTGTGTGTGTATGGTGTATGTGTGTGCTGTGTGTATGAGGTATATGTTGTGAGTAGCATGGGGTGTGTTACATGTGTTGTGTGATGTGTGGTGTGGTGAGTGGTGTATGTGGGGGGTGCGTGTGGGGTGTGCGTGGTGTGGTGTGTGTGTATGTGTGGTGTAGTGTGTGGTGTATTGGGGGTGTGTGTGGTGTGTGTGTGTGCATATGTATGCGGAGTGTGTGTGGTGTATGTGGGGTTTGTGTATGTGTGGTGTGTGACATATACGGGGTGTGTGTGGTGTGGTATGTGGTGTAGGTGAGGTGTGTGTGGTGAGTGTGTGGTGTATGTGGGGTACGTGTGTGTGGGGGGTGTGTGTGGTGTGATATGTGGTGTATGTGTGGTGTGGTGTGTGGTGTATGTGTGGTGTGTGTGGTGTGTATGTATGTGGTGTGCAGTATATGTGGGCTGTATGTGTGGCATAGTGTGCAGTGTATGGGGGGTATGTGTATGTGTGGTATGTGTGGTGTGTGTACGTGTGGTGTGGTGTGTGGTGTATGTGGGGTGTATGTGTGGTGTGTGTGCATGTATATGTGGGGTGTGTGTGGTGTGTAAGTGTGGTGTGTGTGGTGTGTATGTGTGGTGTGGTACATGGTGTATATGGGGTGTGTGTGGTGTGGTGTGTGGTGTATGTGAGATGTGCCTGGGGTTATGGTGTGTGGTGTATGTGTGGTGTGTGTGTAGTGTGTGTGTAGTGTGTGTTGTGTGTGTGTGTATGTATGTGTGGTGTGTGTATGCATGAGTATGTGGGATGTGTGGTGTGGTGTGTGGTGTGTGTATGTGTGGTGTGTACATGTGGTGTGGTACATGGTGTATGTGGGGTGTGTGTGGTGTGGTATGTGGACCCTGAAAACCTGAGACAGGTCTCAGTTAATTTAGAAAGTTTATTTTGCGAAGGTTGAGGACGTACCCACAACACAGCTTCAGGAGGTCCTGACAACACGTGCCCAGGGTGGTCGGGGCACAGTTTGGTTTTATACATTTTAGGGAGACGTGAGACATCAATCAATATAGGTAAGAAGTATATTGGTTCGGTCTGGAAGGCAGGACAACCTGAAGCAAAGGCAAGAAGACAGGAAGCGGGGAGGGGACTTACAGGTCACAGGTAGGTGAGAGGGGAAGGGTTGCGTTCTTCTGAGTTTCTGATCAGCCTTTCCAAAGGAGGCCATCAAATATGCATCTATCTCAGTGAGCAGAGGGGTGACTTTGAATAGAATGGGAGGCAGGTTGGCCCTGAGCAGTTTCCAGCTTGACTTTTCCTTAGTGATTTTGGGGGCCAAAAAGATATTTTCCTTTCATAGGTGTATGTGGTGTTTGTGTACGTGTGGTGTGGTATGTGGTGTATATGGAGTGTGTGTCATGTGGTGGGTGATGTACATGCAGTTTGTGTATGTGTATGAGGGGTGTGTGTCATGTGGCGTGTGGTATATGAGGGATGTGTGTGTGGTGTGATATGTGGTGTATGTGTGGTGTGTGTGTGTGGTATGCGTGGTGTGGTATGTGTGGTGTATGTGGGGTGTGTGTATGTGTGTTGTGTGTGCATGTGGGGTGTGTGAGGTGTGGTGTGTGTGGTGAGTGTGGGATATGTGTGGGTGTGGTGTGGTATGTGATGTTTGTGAGGTGTGTGTGTGGTATGTGTGGTGTGTGGTGTATGTGGGGTGCATGTATGTGTGGTGTGTGCGCACGTGTATGTGGTGTCGGTCAGCAGTCACTTCCTGCTCAGTGTCTGTGGGAATCCAGCCAGTCCCGGAGGCTGCAGTCTGGGGAGTTTGTGCAAAAGTGTCCAGTAGCCCCGTGAACTGACCTGCCTCATAAACGAAATCTCTCAGGTAGCAGGAAGAGTGACCATTCGCAGGCAGGTTCATGTTTCTGAAGGTTTCTTGCTTATCTTTCGGAAATGAAGTGCAGACTTCTACATCGCACATTTATCTCATCACTTTGATTTTAATCCCATGAGTGAAAGTATCTTTAAAAAGCTGCATGCACACTCCCAAGCATTTCTTTGTTTAAAGAATTATGTTTTTGAATATTCAAGTTTTCAAAGCTTTAAAGGTATGAAGCCACATCTTTCATTTTAGAATGAAGATACCAGCAGGCAATGCTAGCAAATGTGAGTGAGCTTAGAAAATATGGGTGATGTGGATGAAGTCACCACTGGATTCTGAAATATTTCCAATAAGAACAGAAAAGACATCTTAGCATAACACTGCCTTTCAAAGAACATTAAGGGTATTTAATTTCATCCACTCAATATAAGGAGTAGAAATCAGAAGAAACATATGTAATGATATCCTATGGTATTTTGTCCATAAAAATAGATGACTTTTGCAAATTTTCATTGCTCTTTACTCTGGGGTGTTTTAAAACTTGTGTTTAGGTGGGAGGGGTGAAGGTGTTACAGAATCATCTACTTAAATCTGCCCTTCTGTGGGGCTGTCCCTTCTTGGGTCTGTGGTTCTGTATTCATTAGCATCTCCCTCGGTCACTGGTCTGGAACCTCCACAGGGACAGACACAGCAACCTTGGTGTTTCCCATGAGCTCAGTGTCGAGTGGGTGTTTGGCAAATGTGTCTACTGCAGGACCAAGGAGGGCGGGGGGGGGTCCTTCTAGATTGCCTCCCATGGCTGGTAGTGCTCCAGGTACTACATGTGGCAACAAAGGCATGAGGTCTGCTCTCAGTCCTGAGAAACACATGTTAGGGACACAGTTAGGGACATGCAGAGCTAAGGCTCAAAGGCCTATGCTCGCTGAGCCAGTAATGCTTGTGCTGCTCATGTGTCTTCTTGCCTTTACTGTTGCACCAACCGTGGAGGCTGCTGCCACCTGTGGAGCCCTATGTTTACCTGCATGGGGACAGGGGTCTGCCTGGTAGAACAGATCCAGGTGGTCCTGAGCAGGGAAGGGATAGGTCCTTGACCGCATTTGCCCAAAATTAGAGGTGAGCACTCATCAGGGATCACACCCAGTCAGAGGGGTTGAAAGAAGCCCCAGGCTGGGCGTGGTGGGTCACGCCTGTAATCCCAGCACTTTGGGAGGCCAAGGTGGGCAGATCACTTGAGGCCAGGAGTTCAAGACCAGCCTGGCCAAGCTGGCGAAACCCCATCTCTACTAAAAATACTGAAAATTAGCCAGGTGTGGTGGTGCACGCCTGCAATCCTAGCTACTTGGGAGGCTGAGGCAGGAGAATTGCTTGGGCCCGGGGAGGTGGAGAGTTGCAGTGAGCTGAGATCGTGCCACTGCACTCCAGCCTGGGTGACAGAGGGAGACCCTGTCTCAAAAAAAGAAAAGAAACCCCAAACAAGAGGGAAGGTACTGTCCAGTGACGGGGGGTGCAGGAGGGGGCTGGAAATGGAGGGCAGGGGAGGAGGCAGGTGTGGGCCCCCCAGGCTTGGGACAGAGACAGTGAGCAGGCTTCCAGAGGCCTTTCCTGCTGGGGGCTGCAGCCTCGCTCTGCCCCAGCACACTCACGCAGCCCGGCCCAGCCTGGTGGGCACCACTCGCAGCCTGAGGGCGAAGACACTGAGGTGTTGCTGCAAGAAACTTGTGGCCCCAATCTTATGTCCACTTGAGAAAGTCGTTTATTCAAAGCCTTGCCCTAAACAAACAGGAACATTTTGCCCTACCACTTGAAATACACACACACACACACACACACACGATAAAGAACAAGGAAAAGAGAGAGGAGGAGAAGGGGAAGGAAGAGGAGAAAGAGAAACAGGAGACAAAACGGGAGGGCCCTGAACTTCCTGGCCCCCTCCTGAGTGCCCCCCTCCATGTGCCTGGGCACTCTTCCCACACCCACTTACAGCACAACTACAGGAAATTTAACGTTTCCCCGCGGAGTTCTATTTGGGAAGTAGGAAGAGGCCAACATTTTAGAATACATATCACACAGAATGTTCTAGATAGAGATGGAGGTTTTGGTGCTGCCTGCAGAGCCTTGACATAGACATAATTAGGAAAATACATCCATGTTGAAATTTCCCAAGTGCCGCCCCCGCCTAGGCTTCAACTTGGGTTTCGAAGGTGTGTGATGTTTTAAACAAAGAGACCTGTTCAAATGTCAGATGAGGGATGACAGAAAAGGGGAAAGTGTCTATTGATAAAGAGGTGCCCGCCATATCCTGAGCCCCTTGTTAGGAACTAGGAGGGGTCTGCAAATTCCATCATGCATTCTCTGGAGGCAAACCCAAAGTCCTAGTTTAGTCCTCTTACCTCCGTCCATGAGGTTGGCCCAGTAAATGACTCTGAACCCCTGGAGAATTCCATTCAAGGCTTCCTTGGAAAGTGTGGACCAGGATATTGATATGCTTTCTGGTGATGTTGCTATGGCTTGGACATTTTCGGGGGGGTAACTGGGCACTGAAATCAAATAATTAGAATCTGTAATAACTGTGGGTGGTTTATGAGCAAAGCAATAACCGAAAAAGCAACGTATTTTAATATTTCAATATGCAAGCAAAAAATTGCACTCAACCCCAAAATGAAAGAAAAAATAACAAAGATCACTTCCCTGGAAAAATCTTATGATAACTCAGTGCTCAGTAAAATATCATGAGTCAATGCATATATTCTAATGGATTCCATAGTCTCTCTTTCCAACTTAGTTTCTTTACTTTTAGGACAGTTGTTGGGACTTGAGTCGTGTACCCTTCTTAATTTTATTGCCTGAGTAGAAAATCATTGTTTGTCTGATTTATTTTCCCCTTACTCTTGGAAGTTACTTCTTTAAGTTGCATTTACTTTATAGAGTACGGTACCTCTGTATTTAGTAATATCTGGCATATAAATTGGAAGCTGAACCATTGTAAAGTGCTAAAAAGTAGAAACATAATCATAGATTTCTCCTGTCTCATCCTCATCCCTTTCTCTAGAGGGAAGAGAGACCATAGACAGGTCAGAAGAATATTGAAAATATTTTTAGTACTGAGCTTTTGTAAACCTTAAATGTTGGCGCTGGGGCGGTGCAAAATACTGGCTGAGACACGCATCTTAATGAAAAATGAGCATTGAAGCAAAAACAAAGGCATATTTAACGACTATTGCAATTATGAAGATAGACAATTCCAGTGTTCAGGCTGCAAGTCATTGAAGACTCCTCTCCTCGCAAAAATTGTCAGATATTACAGGTGCAAGTCCTATCTGCCTCCGCAAACCTGTGATCAAGGGCCGGGCGCGGTGGCTCACGCCTCTAATCCCAGCACTTTTGGAGGCCGAGGCGGGCAGATCACGAGGTCAGGAGATCGAGACCATCCTGGCTAACACGGTGAAAACCCGTCTCTACTAATAATACAAAAAATTAGCCAGGCGTGGTGGCGGGTGCCTGCAGTCCCAGCTACTCGGGAGGCTGAGGCAGGAGAATGGCGTGAACCCGGGAGGCGGAGCTTGCAGCGAGCCAAGATCGCGCCACTGCACTCCAGCCTGGGAGAGAGAGCCGGACTCCGTCTCAAAAAAAAATCTATGATCAAATGACTAACTGCACAAGAGGTAAATGTAGTGCCAGCTTCCTGCCTTCAAAGCTACCACTTATTGCTACAAATAACCCCATATCTTAACTTCCTGCCTAAAACACTGTGCCTCTGGATACCAGGGTTCTCTATTTTCAAGCACTACTGGAAATTTGAGCTTCTGGGTTATTCTCAGTGACATGGTGGAAGGGCTAATTAATTTATCTCGGCCGCTAGGGGGCGATCGATCACTGTGCAATCTGAAAATTCCTTTTCTCTGTACTCAGAATGCTTGAAAATAGGAAACAATGAAAAATAAAATAAATTTTAAAAAACCTTCTTAACATTTGGGAGAAAGTTTTTTAGCAAATAGCATTTCTGCATTCTCGTGAGACTTCTGCAGTAATAGAGAGAGCCTTGTTTTCACTCCAGAAAAGCCCAATTCTTGTACCTGAAATGAATGAGGAAGAGTCTGAAAAGGGAGGGACTTGCTGGCTTTGCAGTCCAGCCCTGCCCCAGGGCGGGCAGATCAGCGGGGTGGGCGAGGTCACGAGGGAAGGCTTTTCCACCCGAGACCCCAGGCCCTGCAGGTCACTGCAAAGTCGTGGGGCGGGGGAGTGCGAGGTTGGGGGAGCCCCGGGGCAGACCCGAGGGAACCTTTGCGGAGGGAAAAGCCACGACCAGGCCCCGGCCGAACCTACCATCCTCGAGAGTGGTGGTGATGATTTCCTGAGAAGAAGGCCC
This sequence comes from Homo sapiens, assembly GCF_000001405.40. Taxonomy (NCBI): domain Eukaryota; kingdom Metazoa; phylum Chordata; class Mammalia; order Primates; family Hominidae; genus Homo; species Homo sapiens. Next base: position 284,188 of record NW_025791814.1, read on the forward strand.
CGTGCCGGCCCGGTTACAGGCCTGCACCACCAGGCCGTACTGAGTGAACTTATTCAGGTTGTCCAGGGTGTAAACCTCACTGTCCCCGCTGGTGTCGACACTGATAATGTTGAATTGGAAGTTACCCCCAGTGCTGTACTCTCGGTAACCTATTTGGTAGCCACGGATAATCCCATTTTGCAAATGTTTCTTGGGAGCCTAAACAGGAGAGAAAAGAACACACTAAAGAAGTCTTGAGGTAGGACAAGAGCGAAATCAACGCCCACACCCACGTAGGAAAGCAGAAATAAAGTGGAGTCATCGCCACGATGCTGGGGCGGTGGTCCGGTAGCAGCCGCAAACCCACGTACAGTGCAACTTGGTCTGTGCCAGGCACCCTTCCTTTACCTGTGAATGCATCCGGCCCTCCCAGCCCCTCTGAGCCACTGGACCGTCAATGGACACAGGAGGTCACCTGAGTATGCATGGCAGGAGCGGAATCTGAACATGGGTGTTGGGCCCCAGAGCCTGCGCTCTCATTCTGTCCTTCATGATGTACTGGTTGACTTGTCTAACTGGCGAGAAAGTGTCAAAATACAGATCATGTTTGTGGCGTCTCCAGGTACGCTTACGACCGGGTGAGACTGACCCTCAGGCCTGCACCCAGCAAGAACTCTCGGGCTCGCTGCTGTGTGCCAGGCCTTGTTCCAGGCACCAGGGAATAGAATTGAGTTTGGAAATGTAAGAAGACAAAAGAAAAGACCCCCGTCCTCATGGAGCTTACATTCTAAGGAAATATCCCAGAATCACAGTGTTTCCAGGTTGAAAACTGGCATGGGAAGGTGAGTGCACACCCAATAGGAAGGTAATCTCTTTCATGAAGCCCCGAATCATTCTGGAATGATTTGGGGGTGATTAAATGTGGGGCAAGAGAGAGGCTGGTGCTAACTCCACCCTGCTGATGTGAAGATGGTCCACCAGGTCAAAGTAGGATTTAGGCTGATGCGTAGGACTCATTTAGAAACCAGAGCCTTTTCAAGGATGGTATAAGGCTGGGCGCGGTGGCTCACACCTGTAATCCCACCACTTTGGGAGGCTGAGGTGGGCGGATCACTTGAGGTCAGGAGTTCAAGAACAGCCTGGCCAACATGGTGAAACCCCGTCTCTGCTAAAAATACAAAAATTAGCCAGGCATGGTGGTGGGTGTCTGTAGTCCCAGCTACCTGGGAGGCTAAAATGGGAGAATCACTTGAACCCGGGAGGCGGAGGTTGCAGTGAGCTGAGATTGCCCCACTGCACTCCAGCCTGGGTGACAGAACAAGACTCAGTCTCAAAAAGTAAAAAAAGATATGCGAATGCCACCAAGATGAGGCTCTAGGGAATAAAGGTTTTGTAGACTTTCAGGCAGTCAACAGATATGTGTGTTTATGTGTATGCGTGTATGTATACATACACACATACATGTGTATGTATGTATACATGTACATATGTATGTATATACATATACACGTACACACATACATTTAAGTACAAACTATGGATCTGGATCTCTCAAGCCTCTGAAAGCTTTCTCCGTCCTGAAAGTGTTTATAATCGACCTGCAGAGAGGAAATAAGCACTTAAGAACCTGTAGAGAACTATGAAGTGTGGAAATGCATGGTAAGAAAGTGAAGGCCAGCAGGCATCTAGAAAGTGTGAGTATGGGTGGTCTGAAGTGGTGGGAAGACTCAGAGCCCAGGTGGGCTTGACGGAGGGGGGGAGGTGGCGGGGCACGGCTCAGAGAAGTAGAAGGAGGATGGGGTGAGTGGAGCCTGCAAAGGGTGCACACCTGCCCAGCGGTAAGTCAGGAGGGAACGGACAGAGTGGAGCAAGACCTTGAAAACCTGCCAAATGTGACCGGGGGAGGGCAGACAATGAGAAGTCAGAAGAAGGTTTCGAGCTGATGAACAGCATTGATGGATTCAGCAAACACTTATGGATTGCCTAATAATAACTTCCCAGGGGATTCCATGCCTCAGCCTGTCATTAGTAGTAAGTCTGACTTATCCAAGAGCAGTAAAATCATTTTTGTTTTTCACAGCAAGTTTCTCCATTTATGGTTTTCTTGGACTCCACTTGCTTTTCCCAACAGCCAATCTAATTTAGTATATTCATGGTGCCAGCAGGTGTCAGTGAAACAGTCGCGTAAACCATTTATTTATTTGTATCTGTTGGCTCGGAGTTAGACCCTGGTGGAAGAGCTCATACCTTTTTTATTATAAACAAATGTCTATGCTCCTCTGAATCCACAGATGTGCTGGCTTTTGCATTGATGAGCTATGGCTTTTCTCACTGTTTAGAAATAGATTTCAAGATTCTATGTTTTGAAAATTCAATTACTCTATGTGAAAATTGTTTTGCTGCAACCACTGAATTACATTTATGTGACCTAATTAATTAATCAAATGAATTTCCCTGTAAACGTCACCTATAAGTCAAATTTACCAACAAAGAGATTTCCCCTATTTTACCTAGTGTTTTAATGTTAGATATAGTGACCCAAATAAAATAATATTATTTTTTAAATGAGATTTACATCCATTAAATATTCTAATTGTTCAACTGGCTCCCGGTGAGGCTTTAAGCCTCCCTAAGACAGCAAGTTGGATTCACAGTATGGGGGCTGTGGAGTCAGGTCAAGAAGAGTAGACAGTAAAGTCAAATGCCTGTGAGAAAGTGTTTTCATAGAGCCACCAATTTAGCTAAATCCTCCACAAGAATGAAGGGACCTGCTTGCTGACATGTAGTTCCTCCAGTTTGGGGGGATTAATCCTGCCTGTGATCTGTTTGTACAGGTAGAAAGGAGAAATCTTCCCTTGTTTCCTCTCCATGGGTGAAAACCCATCCTAACTAGCTTAACTATAATAGACAACGCAGGTGTTTTTGTTCTGTTCCATTTCAATATTTTGTTAAAAAGAAAAAGAAAATTCTTTACATTTTTCTTAGAAGAACTACATTTCAGTCCTGTGGTTCTAAAATAAAGCTTATTTTTTCTTAGTTGATACTTCTGCAAAATATTGTGTGGAATAATTATCTCATTTTGTTTTATAATAAAAGTAAACAACCACCATTTCTATCCAATGCAATTCTATTCACATTTTGATGCATTTCAGTCTATTTATCTAAAGTAAAGTGTTTTGCCCCACATAGCTGTGTTTGTAGCCTGTACAATTTAGTGTCTGAGTTTTTCTTCTTCATTTAATATGCTATTATGATTATATTCCCATCTTTACTTCATAGTCTTTAAATATCATATTCCATCATATTGATGTTTTATTTTATTTAACCTTTTTTTAATTGTTGGGGATATTATTGTTTCCAGGTTTATTTACTACCACAAATGCTATGTTAGACACCTTCACAATATAGTTTCTCTGTTTCTAAGTTTATTTATTGAACTCAAGTCCCAGAAGTAGATGACCATCTTATTTTTTAAGTCCATGTTTCAATTGGCTGTTAATGAGATAGGGCTTTTTTGATTATTATTCTTCCAGATGTGCAATATCATAGGGTAAGTTAAGGGATTATATCACAAGGAACAAACAAGAGAGCTCTCCTCTATTTTTCTTAATATTCCAATTTTGAAATGAAATATATGGAGTAGAGTTATGCGTTATTTGATGGTAGTAGTGTTTTTACATCTTTTTTTTTCAGGGTGCTAATATGATCTATAGTTTTCATGCAGAATAAATTGTTGCACCTGAGGAAGAAGTGAGATGTGTTTCTTATAAAGGGAACATATACTTTCAGTTTCATAGCTTGCAGGTCCCCAAACTATAAGGTTTAAAAACAGACTTAAAAGGTAGTGGGAGAGGATGGGAGCAGCAGCCAGTGGTTGCAAGCTTTCTCTGTGGGGTGATGCAAATGTTTACAATTATGGCTACGGCTGCACATCTCTGTAAACATATGAAATACCACTGAATCATACACTTAAAATAGGGAATGCTATGGCATGCTAACTGTATCTCAATAAAGCTGTTTTTTACAAAGGTAGTGTGCTAACTCATCTCTAGGTTATCTTTCTATTTCAATTACAACACTAACTGGCACCTCCACCATGATGACCACCACCACCAATCAATGCTTACCACCTCTGCAGGTCACTGTCACCACTGCCAACATCAATGCCACTCCCTCAGGTCCCCCACACAGCCAAGCCACCACCATCACTACTACCATCTTTACCACCATCATCACCACCAGCTTCATCTCTGTCAAAAATACTGTGAACACCACCACCACCAGCAATAGCATCTCTACCACTGACATCACCAACATTACAACCACCAGTATCAACATCACTGCCATAAAATTAACCTAATGGTAGAAGCACCTCTATCACTTCTTCCAACTTTACCACCATATTTATCACAAACTTCACCAACAAACCACACTTTAACCTCCACTACTTCCATCATCATCCTTGATGTTACCACCATCACTGTCACTAAAAAGATGCTTCACTTTATCACTATCCCAAAACCAACAACACTATCACCACCACCATCCATCACTCAATCACTATCCCAACACCAACACAACTATCACCACAACCATCCATCACTCCATTACTATTCCAATATTAACATCACTACCACCGCAAATATCCATCACTCCATCACTATTCCAACACCAACATTGCCATCACCACAACCATCCATCATTCCATCACTATCCCAACACCAATATCACTATCACCACAACCATCCATCACTCCATCACTATCCCAACACCAATATCACTATCACCACCACCATCCGTCACTTCATCACTATCCCAATACCACCATCACTATCACCACCACCATCCATTACTTCTTCACTATCCCAACACCAACACCACTGTCACCACAACATCCATCACTCCATCACTATCCCAACACCAATACCACTGTCACCACAACATCCAATACTCCATCACTATCCCAACACCAACAGCACTGTCACCACAACATCCATCACTCCATCACTATCCCAACACCAACACCACTGTCACCACAACATCCATCACTCCATCACTATCCCAACACCAACACCACTGTCACCACCACCATCCATCGCTCCATCACTATCCCAACACCACCGTCACTATCACCACCACCATCCATCGCTCCATCACTATCCCAACACCACCATCACTATCACCACCACCATCCATTACTTCTTCACTATCCCAACACCAACACCACTGTCACAACATCCATCGCTCCATCACTATCCCAACACCAACACCACTGTCACCACCACCATCCATCACTCCATCACAATCCCAACACCAACACCACTGTCACCACAACATCCATCACTCCATCACAATCCCAGTGCCAACATCACTATAACGACAACCATCCATTATTCCATCACTATCCCAACACCAATATCACTATCACCACAACCATCCATCATTCCATTACTATCCCACACCAACATGAATGCCACCACAATGACCACAACTACTACTACCTCTACCACCTCCACTTCCACTTATTGAACACTGTTTTTTCCCATTGTAATTGGTGCTTTATGTATATTATTTCATTTTCTTTCCCTAAAAAACCCCACACAGTATAAGTATGCTTCTTTACACATGAAGAAACAAAAGGTCAAATATGTTAAAACAACTATCTCAAGGCAAGTACAGGGTAGGAATTCTCCAAAGTTGTATTTGGTATTAACCGCTCATAGAGCCTCAGAGAACTTTTCACCCTTTTGCAAAGTTTGTTAGTTTTGTAAAGTAATAGTATACATGGCATTTCTAATCAGAGGAAAATTTAATAGATCACATGAAGAGAAAATTGTATATTTTTATGCATAAAAGCAAGCAAAAATTCTTTATCAGGGAAAGTTTAAGTTACTTTATTAATTTGTAGATAGACTAGTCAGATTGAAATTTAGAAATGCATTTAAATTAAAGAAATCCTTGTGGATGTATTTTAAAACAACCTCTGAAAAAAATCCATAAATGTAGGGATTTTGTATATTAAGTGTAAGAAATGTTATGGCCTGTGGTTCAGGTTTTCGAAAATGACACTAGAGGCTCACTCTGAGTTATGGATGAGTCAGTAGGAGTGGAAGGTGTGCTTAGTGGAGACACGTGAATCCATTTGTCTGGCAGTGGGCTTCATATTCCCAAGGCAAATTAGTGCATAAGATCCTTAACTGGAAAATTGTTTTGAATGATGCTTTAGACATCTTTGCTTGGAGCATGTGTCTACTAGGAACAAAGGGAGATGGTTTTCTGGGGTATAGAGAATATATCCTTATAGGGAAATGATCTTTAGAACACTGTATTAAGGTTGTTAATTAGCACTGTAGAACAATTGATACATGGGTGGAAATAATGGTTCACTTTCATGAAACTCAGTGAATGAGGTTAATGGTGGGGTAAGAAGAAAAGGAAAACAAGAAATCAGGTAGGGATCTGGAAACATATTTTGAATCTGAGTTGCATAATATTGGAGAAGACAAATTTCCTAGGAAACCACTTTGACCATGCCTCTTTGATCTCTGTCTCCCGATCTCAGTAGTACCTGTTGTGAGATCTGATCGCTGCCTCATCTCTCAAGACTAATGCCTCCTGGGTGTTGCTTGCTCACCTGCGTTCCTCTCTGACTGCCTGAAAAAGGGTGGGGATCCCAACTGTCTTACATATTCCCACCTTATAAAAGCTGTTGTCAAAAAATGTTCTTCCTTCTTCTTTCAAAGAATACCCCCACTACTCCTTCTCTGCAGGCCAGCTCAGCTTCCAGCTCACCAGGGCTCTTCCCTAGACCACTCCCACCAAGAAGCCTTCTCCCTCCCTGGTCTCCACTGGCATTCACTGATCACTTCTACCTCCTCTAGTGGCCACCATTCTCAATGAAACGTGGTTTCAAAGAATGTCATTGCAAGCTCTAGAATGCAAAGAACCCTACAGAATGAAATCTCACTTGTTATTTCCCCCTGTCTAAATCGGGGCTTCAACACTGTGGATGTTCTCAGAAGATATTCTTGCAGATGGAGAAGAGAATGGTTTTGAACACACATGAGATGCAAAAAAAAGAGGTGGGTAAGAATGATCACAGGTACAGGTTTATAATCTAACTGGGTAAAGGACTGATAGCAAGGGTATGAAGTCAGAAGAAATTCCTTGACTGCAGACACATGGTTTAGCTGTTGAAGAGAGGCCTGGCTTAGCCACTACAGAAGTGGAGAACTCAGCAGTCTAGTGTGACAGCCGGGAAGTGTGGATTCAAGCTGAGAGTTGGCTTCCGCACTGGGACTTAGCCTGCTGGCCTACACAGAAGGATGACAGGTTGAGGCAGGATTTGGAGGGGTTGAGCTTCATTGCCCAGGCCCCACCAGGGATGAAAATAGCTTCTGATGAGCCAATTTATTTGGACACTGTCATTCATTTTTTTCCTTCTTAAAAGAAGGATTCCAGAAAGAGAATTTGCTCACTTACTCAGCCAGCCGGTGGGTTACATGTTTTTATGATGATGGACCTGCAGATTTACAGCAAATCTCACCTGGTAACCAGTCATCTTAAGACAAATTAAAGGAGTCCTTTGAAACGTAAGCATATGGAAAAAAAAAAACACAAAAAAAACAAAAAACTAAGGGCTCCCTTCTACTCCTATTTAAGAACTCAATAAAACAAGGCCCTTTCCACAGGGAAAATGTTGAAATTTAGAAATGTGTTTAAGTTAAAGAAATCCTTGAGGACGTATTTACAAACAACCGACTTCTTTCCTAAGTGAGTGCTTTCTGTTTGCCTCTTCTCAAATCCCCTTGAACGCAGTGCAAATCTAAGAGAAGGTCATGCCTGCTCCTTGTTAGGTTTCTCACACAAAGATTGTTTTTCCCATGTTGAACTTTACTCCCCCATTCATTTGCCTTTGGATTCAGTAATGATCCTGATTTCTTCTCATTTCTTTCATTTATCTGCCATCTGTGGAATGCTCTCTCCCCCTTCCTAGCCTGGCAGGTTTTTTTCTCCTGTAGTCCTCCTCAACAGCCTCCTTTCATCCTCCCAGATGCCCTTTCTCCAGCTTCCAAATCCCTCCCAACCTCCACTTCCTTTAAGAAACCTTCTCTTTTGATCTCCATGACAACAGTCGCACCATGTCAATGTATTTGCACGGTGTGCAAGTGACTTATTTTATATGTCCTTCTCAATCAGTCGGCTGCAAGCCGCCTGTGGCAGATGCATCATCCTTTAAAGGGACAGTAAAACAGTAGACGTGCAAATGCTCACTGCACCTGCCTGGATGTGAATGATTAGAACAGGCATCTCTTGTGCTGAAGACCACCAGCCATGTTCTGTTTCCCTCATGCCTCCTGCCCCCTTCCCATTGAAAGGAAATGGCCTCTGCTGGATGTGCAGAATTCACCTGTTGGCTGGAGTCTGCTAAGAGCCTCACTGCAGAATTTCACGTTTGAAGAATGCTGCCTTTCTCAGGCATGCTGAATAATTTAGTTGGGAAATGAATTGAACATTTTCTTTATAGATTCCTCCAAATCCACTTAAAATGTAATCTATCCTCATTTCCCTTATGTGACAAGTTGGGTGGACAGTCTTTTTCATCTTTGTGCGTTTTCTGCAGCCTCCCCTTACCTGCTTTCCAACATAAACAGTAGCCATTCCATAAGCTTGCTCAGTGAATGGGTGCATCACATTGAACAAACCTTAACTGGGCATCTGTTCTACACAAGGCATGGCACAACCAGGGACACCTTTGAGTGAATCAGTGCTCAGAATACTGCCTGATACTTGCAGTGCTGAAGGTTTGCCCAGAGTACTATGGAGGGGCAAATCGTGGTCAGAAGGATTGCCAGAGAAGAGCATACTTCACCTGAGCTAAAGGGTGACTGGACATTGCCTTGGAGGGTACAATGCTGTCGCCAAAGCAATTGGCATACACAGCTGCACCCAGGTGCAAGGACAGAAGACACCCAGGAATGGAGAGAGGCTCAAGTGACTCTGGGGTGAGGTATCCATGGTGATCACAGGGGTGGGGGACGGTACAAGCACAGATGAAGCTAGGGACATATCTACGGGACAGAACCTATGGAGCCTGTATGTAGTGGTATGGTGCGCTACCAGCAACATCCACATCACCTGGAAAACTGTTAGAGCTGCAAGAACTGGGGACCCACTCAGAGTTCCTGAATCAGGAATAAACTCTGGGGGTGGAGCCTGGTGAGGTGTGTTTTAAAAAGCCCTCCAGGGGATACCAGTGCTCCCTGAGTCTGAGAATCACTGTTGTTATCACTGGGAGTCACTCAGTGATTTAGATTTGGCTTTGCTGGGAGAGACTATTTAGTTAAAAAGCAGCAACTATGCATTCCCCCATTTCTCAGGTTAGCCAGTAGCCCATTTTCCTGGTTCTTGGCCAAACAAAAGGGAATAAATGCACATAAAACTGTTAGACCTTCCTGGTCTTGGGAGTAATTTAAAGATCTACCTTACTCAGCACTAAAGGGATTCTGCTTTACAATAGGTATAGGGGTGGTGTGAGAACCAGCTGGCTATCTTGGTCCATGGACAATGGATTTTGAGGGGGCTATGTCAGGTCGAGGAGACCTCTTACATTATTGCCTCAAATAATTCCTTTCCTCTCCTCTCTCCTTTCTTTCCTCTCCTTTCTTCTTCCTTCCTTCCTTCCTTCCTCCCTTCCTTTCCTTCCTTCCTCCCTTCCTTTCCTTCCTTCCCTCTTTTTCTTTTATTTTTCTTTCTTTTTCACAGGGTCTCACTCTGTCACCCATGCTGGAGTGCAGTGGTGGGATCATGGCTCACTGCAGCCTCAACCACCCCAGGCTCAAATAATCCTTCCACTTCAGCCTCCTGAGTACCTGGGATCACAGACATGTCACCATACCCGGCAAATTTTTGAACTTTTTTTGTAGAGATGGGTTTTTGCCATGTTGCCCAGGCTGGTCTCCAACTCCTGAGCTTAAATAATCTGCCCAACTCAGCCTCCCAAAGTGCTGGGATTACCAGCAGTGAACCACTGCTTCCGGTCTCAAATGATATTTTTGTTCATATATCTCTCCTTAGAGTTGCACTGTATTAAATACAGTATCTGTGTCCTAGGTCTCATAATGGGTAGATGTATGGCCACGTGACTGGCTCCCCCAAAGTCATTATCTTTTGAGGAGCTAGGAAAGGATGAGATGTCCACATTTCATGAAATAGAAAAGGGCCACATGACCTGATAATGAGACAGTGCTTAGAACAAAGGGGCTGTGCAATTTCAGTTTGAGAAATAAATGATAAATGACAGATTATTTGAAATAGGCACTGTCTTGAGAGCCAAGAATGTTACTTGCAGGCTGCAGCTGCCATATTCTAGTCAGACTTGGCAGCTGAGGAGGAAAGAGTGGCCAAGGTATATGTGGGCTTTGCCTTGAGACACAAATGCAGAATGCTAGAAATAGATTGATAATTTTATGACATGGAATTGAGGTTAACTACTGCAAAGCAAAACTCCATTTATTCCATTTCTAAAGTGTAGGACAGCTTCCGCTTTATTCATCCAGCCAACAAACACCTGTGACATAGCTCCTCTTTTTGGGACACTCCCTTTTTGAATTCTGTTGTTCCTCATACATCACACCACCTGCTAACCACAGTTAACATTTCCTACCAGCCACAGAGGCCTATCAGTGCTCTCTGCCAAGGACCACACAAGGGCATTCGGGCTTTGCTTCCTATGAATCAACTCTGAGGGCTGGCCTCTGGGAATACCCCCACCTAGCTCCCGCGCCCAACAATGGGGACCTAGAGGGTGCACTCTGATGCAAAAGAGGGGGTATGCTAGTCTGTGAGCCTGAGGCTGGGCCCCAACTATTTAGCGGTGGCTGAGTGAACCCAAAGGGCTTTGGCCCACCACACACGCCTGGAGGGCCCAACCCAGAGTAGCCCCTCTGCAGGTAATGGAGGCCCTGTAACGGCAGTGTGGCCAAGGAGGGCAGGGCAGGGGCCCGAGAAAGGCCACAGAGATAAGGGAGGGAGGGGCACCCCGACTCCAATCTGATAAACAAGCACAAGAGGCAGGATTTCAAAGGCATGGTCATGGGGCCATGAAAAATGCTCGGAAGTAGTTTTGCGGGATGGGAGAAGACAGTGTCTGATTCTGGAAGCTCTGTAAGACAGCGCCAGGGGAGGGCCAATCATGATCCAACACCGCTGGTAAAGAGGTCAGTCGGGCAGGGGTGGAGCTGAGTGAGATGAAGGCACATCCACATCCACCTCTCACCCCAACAAACCACTGGGTCTGCATGCTCTGGAGGCATCCTGGATGTCTTGATGAGAAAAGGCAGGAAAGGAGGGTGAAGAAGAATCTTCCTTGGAACGAAACAGGCCCTTTCCACTGGGGAGGGCAGGGCGTGGGAAGCTGGAGGCCAAGGCAGGGAGCCAAGCCAGGAGTCGCCCCAGCCAGTGCTCTGACATGCACACAGGGCAGCCTCTGTCTACCCTGTAGGTCCTTAAACTGGAACTGCCTCCATTTCCCTCCCACCCTATATATAATATAATTTATATTATATTTAATAATATAAATTAAAGAATAACTAAGAGAACCCTTAAGTGATGTAGGAGGAGAGGGTAAGTATGGAGACAAACTGAGTCCTGGAATCCACAGGGATGAGGCTGAGAGCCAGTAGCGGGTGAGAGTGACCCTGGGCTGGAAGGGACACACAGATGGGAACGGCACTGCCAGGAGGCAGGTGGAAGCTGTGACAGTCAAACTAAGACAGAGAGAGAGAGAGAGAGAGAGAGAGAGAGAGAGAGAGAGAGAGAGAGAGAGAAAGGGGCTTGTAAAGGAGTAAGCGGCATCAGTCACACGCCGGGTTGTTGCAGCCTTTGTCATTTTTGCTAAGTATCTGTTCAGAAGAACCAGAGAAGATCCAGGTCTCAGAAGGAGCCTGCCCACTGAAAGGTGAGCTTTAATTTTATAACTGGAAGGAATTCCTGAGTGCTTTACATCTGTGCCAAAAGAACCAATGAACCAGAAGCCATTTTTGAGTGGGGCACTGCTATAAAGCTACCTGAAAATATGGAAGCAACTTTGGAACTGGGTAATGAGCTGAGGTTGGAAGAGTGTTGAGGGCTCAGAAGAAGACAGGAAGATGAGGGAAAGTCTGGAACTTCCCAGAGACTTGTTAAATTGTTATGATCACAATGGTGGTAGTGATATAGGCAAAGAAGTCCAGGCTGAGGAGTTCTAAGACGAGATGAGGAACTTATTGGGAACTGGAGCAAAGGTCACTTCTGTTATGCATTAGCAAAGAGGTTGGAGGGATTGTGCCCCTGCCCCAAAGATCTGTGGATCTTTGAACTGGAGAGTGATGATTTAGCATATATCATATATGGCGGGAGGGGCTAGCCTTGTCTCAGATGAGACTCTCTCAGTTGGATGTGGCTCCCTCTCGAGAGATCATCTCAATCCAGGAAATAAGGGTTGACAAACTGGTCCCTCCTCCAGATCTGTTTGGCTGCTTGTTTTTATGTGGCTCTTAGCTAACAACGGTTTCTTGTTGTGGCTTACATTTTTAAATGATTGAAAAAAATCAAAAGAGGAAGAATATTTTGTCATGTGAAAATTATGTGAACTTCAAATTTCACCTTTCCTAGGTGAAGTTTTACTGGATCCCAGCTGTCTTCACTCATCCACGCATGGACTGCAGCTGTGCCTATGCAGCAGAATTGAGCAGTTAAGACCGAGACTGCAGGGCCTACAAAGCTGAAAATATCTGCTCTCTGGCCCATTAGAGAAACAGTTTGCAGACTCGTACAGGACAGTGCTGTGGACAGAACCAGCATGTGAGGTAGAACTTACTGGGTGTGCTGCAGGTCCAAGGCAGGGTGGGAAGGAGAGAGGGGAGAAAGGTTGACAGGAGAGGCACTACTAAGAAAGGAGCATTGGAGAAAGGCCTGGGCTCTGCCCAGTGTTGGTTAGAGTTCGTTACTCTCCTTTTATCCATGCTCCAATGGATAGTTCTAACTTGTGTTCTATCAGAAGACAAGGAATAGTAATGTCTGCAGTAACAATGGAGCTCCAGTCCTGGATTCAATATCTGCCCTCTATAGCTCAGTAGGGATTAAGAGGAGGATGGCATTCTTTCTCTAGAGCTAGGCTTTGTCTCTCTTTCCTTTTCTTTTTTCTTTTTTTTTTTTTTCCTGAGACAGTCTCGCCTTGTCACCCAGGCTGGAGTGCATTGATGCCATCTCAGCTGACTGCAGCCTCGACCTCCCAGGCTCAAGTGATTCTCCCACTTCAGCCTCCTGAGCAGCTGGGACCACAGGCACACACCACCACACCCAGCTATTTTTTTTCTTTTGATAGAGATGAGGTCTCACTATGTTGCCCAGGCTGGTCTTAAACCCGTGGGCTCAAGCAATCCTCCCAATTCAGCCTTTGAAAGTGCTAGGATTATAGGTGTGAGCCACCATGCCTAGCCTCTTATCTATTTTTGGGTAATGAAAAGCTTTAGCCTTGACTAAAGAGAATTTTAGACATCAACATGCATGAATAGGTATTTGCGAGGAGAATATTGAAAAAGTTGTCTGGGCAAGGCACAGTGGCTCATGCCTGTAATCACAGCACATTAGGAGGCCGAGGCAGGAGGACCGCTGCAGGTCAGGAATTTGAGACCAGCCTGGGCAACATAGTGAGACCTTGTCTCTACAAAAATCAAAAAGTTAACTGGGCATGGTGATGGTGGTATGCACTTGTAGTCCCAGCTACTCAGGAGGCTGAGGTAGGAGGATCACATGAGCCTGGAAGGTCAAGGCTGCAGTGAGCCAGGATGGTGCCACTACACTGCATTCAGCCTGGGTGGTAGAGTGAGACCCTGTCTCAAAACAAAAACAAAAACAAAAAAACAAAAGAAAAGAAAAAAAGAAAAGAAACAGTTGTCCAATAGGCTACTGTATGTTCCCTGTTAGGAATGTGCTAGAAGCATTCAGACCAAGGGCCCCTGTGAACACTCTGGCTTATGTTGAGGGGAAATACTCCACAAGTCCAGATGCAACACGTGCCACAGATTCCACACGGGCCCACGGGAGCAACACAGGCACTCCCTGAATCACACTCTCCTTCAGTGGGAAGTCTTGTTTCCTAAATTCACTAAGGATCTGCCACCTAAATTCTTCTGTTATTTACAGAAAAACAAACCCTGTTTCCAACTTCAAATTGTTACTGGCAGGCAAAACAAGAAGGTAAAATGGTTTTATTTCTTATACATCTATAATTACTCAAAGCACAAAGTACTTTTATTTTTGGTCTCAACTTAAATTTTTCAAAAGAACAGGAAGAGTTTATTACAGGAATTGAAAGAATTTGAAGTAGCTTTCAGCATTTTTAATACAATGAAGAGTTTGGCTTTAAAAATGTTATGGGCTATCTTGAAATAGTTTGTTACATCTTAGTGCATTAACTTAAATGTATTTGAACTAGTGAAATACGTTTGAAGGCACACATTGTGTTTTTCTGTCTTGCTTCATGCTACCTTGAAAATAGTCTGGAAAATAGCTGTGCCCTCCTGGCTGGGGTTCTTCCTGTGATGGACCCTAACCAACTTCGTCCAGCCGAGTTGCCATAATAATAACAATAAAACTAATGTCATGTTTCTTCCCTTGCCTTAGGAGAGGGGTCCATGACATAGCAGATGCCATTTGATGATGTCTATGTAATTCTTGATTGGATATATGTTTTCCTTTTTCATTCTAACATCTGTGCCCTGTTTACTAACTTATGTATCTCACTTGATTTCTCTGAAAAGATGGGAAATGTCATCAGCGAGATGGCTTAAGGACTGCTGTCTGAGGAAATACAGCACATTAAACAGTGTATATCCACCTATGCACTCCCTGTACGGATGGCATCCATGCATTCATAATGCTCAATGCCATATTAACTTTAGCTTGATTTTCCAATTTGTTCTCTGTGAAAAGCAGAGTTAGGATTATATGAGAACTGATAAAACTGTCTAAGATGGTCTTCTGAATACTTTTATTAAATTACTACCTACCCATCTATTTTTAAAAATTAATTAATTAAATTTTTGAGACGAGTCTTGCTCTGCCACTCAGGCTAGAGTACAGTTGAGCAATCTTGGCTCACTGCAGCCTCTGTCTCCTAGCGTTCAAGGAATTATTCTGCCTCAACCTCATGAGTAGCTGCGACTATAGGCATGATCCATCATGCCTGGCTAATTTTTGTATTTTTAATAGAGATAGGGTTTCACCATGTTGGCCAGGCTGGTCTCGAACTCGTGATGTTAAGTGATCTGCCCGCCTTGGCTTCCCAAAATGCTGGGATTACAGGCATGTGCCACTGTGCCCGACCCTATCCATCTATTATTAGGTTACTGAAAATAAACTTCTATTTTTTGTTGGGAAAATTTCACCACATTTACATTTATTGGGAGATATTTGCCATCAGAAATGGCAGTGCTGTCCAGAGCCATTGGTGGGGTGGGCGGAATCAGCATCTAGGATAGGGATCCAAATCGGGGTTGTTAATCAAGGGACCACCTTATGGATTCCAGAGTGGGCCCACATCCGTTATCCTCTATGGCTATCAAGTCAGCACTGGGAGGTGAGGAGAGAGGAGAATTCATCATTAAAATGCACTGCTACTTTCTTGGTTATGACATAATGAATAAAACACACAACTCAGAACTAGAGAAAAGGGTTCAAGTTCCAATAATGACAAATCAAGTGACTTAAGGTCATTTTGTTAGGTGTAGAGATGGGTGTCGTATCTAATTTTCTGAAATTTAATCCAGTACTTTTTACACTGTATTCTAATTATATATAATTTACTTGTTGGAAATGGATTTAACTTACGCTAATGTTACTTTAAAATGTGATGAAATAGTGTCAACTTATATTTTTACATGTACTTTTCAGTTTTCACTATGAATATTACATGTTTGTATATATATGTTACTGTAAAGCTTCCTAGTGAATATTATGCATAGTGTGCTTATTAGACAATTTAAGTCATTTTCAATATCATTCTGACCATACACAATTTTTGACCTAGTGTCACAACTTCAGGACCTGGTCCAATTGTAAAAATGTAATGTTGATGCACTAAGAAAACACCTAAGGATGAGCGTCAATAGATGTCCAAAATACCCCTTTAGTTGCAACCTTATTTGCATTTCTGATAATATGCTCTTTAAATCAGGCAAATACAATACTTGCCTTCTAAAGTTATATTGCAACTTTACAGCTTATAACCTAACCGTTATACAAAAAATCAAAGTGCCTACACTTAGATTTTTTGTGTTCATCCAGACTCAACGTGAAACTCTTAGAAGAAACCATCCAACAGGATTTCTGGCTCGACGGCAGACGGCCTTGGTCCTAAGCCTTAGTCCAAGTTCAATTTGTGTCCTGTCAAGGCCACTCTGCTGGAGAGGTACAGCTTTTTCAGTGGGGTTTGAATCAAGAATTGCCTCTTAGGCTGACAGTCCCAGATAGTGTCTCTTCCCAGCCTGCCTGAGCATCAGACCTAGATTCCACCCCTGTGGCTGCGAGTAGCTCTTGCAAATGCAGCCAGCATTTTCCTGGCTGCGCTCTAGGCTGGAAACCAAGGGAACTGCCTGCTTAGTTGAGGAGACCTGCCGGACCCTTTGTGCATGCAGGCTGGCAGCTCTGTCCTGGGACAGAGAACTGGAGTCCTTGAAGAAGGCCCATCACATGGCTAAACCGAGAGGAGTAACCCAATGTATAGACGGAGAGATGCAGAATACATTCCAAATGGTATAAATAAACACCATGGCTTCATTAAAGAAACATGCATAGTTTACATATACACCAAAAAGATGCAAATTTAGTCACCTAGGGCTTTCTAGAAAGTCCACAGTTTTTTTTTTAAAAGCACCACCTCTTGATATGAACCTTTTATGATAAAAGTAAACAATGGTAAATGGTTTATGCATTAATTTAACGCATATTAATTGCACTCCTGCTGAGGGTACAGTGAACACACAAGACATGTCCTCAACCCTCACGGAACCTAGAGTCTAGTCCACCTAAAAAAGTTGAGAAAGAACAATCTTACTTTATACGGATGACCAGAGATTTTGAAATTTTTTTTTCTTTTCTTGTTATCAAGGAAGGAGGTTAGACTCGTTAATATGAGAAGGGCTAAAAATTCTTTAAGTATTTGTAAGACATGTTGGTGTTCAGGAATTTCAATAAGGCTATTATAAAACCAATGCTAGAACCAATGGATTAGTTCCTAAAAGCAAATGCAAACTTTTGTCATTTTTCATAGCCTAAAGATTAAAGTGATAGTTGAAGAATTAAGTAAAGTTTATTTCAAGGCAACCTTTTTGAATTTCAGTTGATATAGGAAAAAAGGGTGTCTACTCACTATGAAAGTTACTCTAAGCTTAAGTTTACAATTTGGAAAGAAAAGGATACTACGTAAGAATGTAAATTTCATATATCTTTAATTTTTATGGGGTTGGGTATAATTTATAACATGAGTTTGCAAGGAATAGTAAAGGGAGTTAATATTTATTGAGCATTATTATGCACGAACTACAATCTTGGCACTTCCTAGTAATTAACTGGTTGACTGCTCAGAAACCCAGGAGGCAGAACCAGGCAGCCTGGGTGGAAGTCCTCAATCTGACAGTCACCAGCCTTCAGAACTTGGGTAAGTTCCTTTGACTTCAGGATCTCCCTCTGCACAAAACTGGGTGTTCCCAGCTCACAGATCAAATGAGATAATGCATGCAGAAGTTTAGCATTGTGCCTGGCGGGGAGCAAATATCTCTAAGGACAGCTGTCCCAGTTGGCCAGGAAATACTAGTGCTGGAAGGTGCCTCCAAGACTGCCTTTTCCAAGGTACCTTGCACTTCCCTGGGGTAGAGGGATTTTAGTGCAGAAGGCAAGTGGAGCCTGCAGTTTATTAAACGATGACTACGGAGGTCACTGGAAATAAGGCAGTTTTGTTTTTAAATGACAGACTGAGTCATTTTCCTGTTGTAAGAGCTCAACTCTGAAACTTAATAGGTTGTAATGATGCCTCAATTAGCTGGAATTATTGGGTATAGTGGAGATGTGATATTCTGGTTAAAAATATTCTTCAGATTACTGAAATTTAATTAAATCTCTGAATATTCAACTTAGTATTTTACAGAAATCATACCTCTCTTTCTTAATTCTAAATGAGAATTTTGCTTATTCTCAGTAAAATTTTCACGCAGATAGTACAATACTGAGGGCCAAATGGTAAAATTATTCTCAGGATTTTTATTGCAAGTAATCACTTTGATAATTGTTCTCAGCACAGAAATATTTAAGCAATTGACCATTTCATATTTTGGGGACAGCCTGTGGTTCTGCAAAGATTTCTTATTTAATGCAAAAATAAAACAACAACACAAATTTTATATCAATAGGAAAAAAACTCTGTCTTAAATTGCATTCTCTGGATAAATGTTTTGAGATGTATATAATCATTAAATATTCTAAATAATGAATGTTTTATTTTATGAGTGACCATGGCAAACACACACACACACACACACACACACACACACACACAAGCATGCACACAAGTAGCTGGTAATCACATTGTCCTTAATTTGCATCCAAAGAGGGTCAGCTGATTCTGAGACTGATTAGGAGAGAAGGTGACAGGCACTGCTAAAAGAGACACTTTAGGAGATAAACTAAAAATTGGAATTTTCTGAAAAACCAAAGAATTCCTTAGTTGTACAATGTTCAGGTACTTCATCAAATATGTTATCAATTATCCATAGCTTTAAATATTCTTTCTGATTTTGAATCAGAAACAAAACCTGCCATGAATTAAATTGTATTTGCTTACACAAATCCTTTTGTTTCTCCAAGAATGTCAAATGAAACTTTATTGTCATTTACTTTTAATTTTATTCAGAACTGCTTACATTGTCTTTTGGATTTCTGTCAAGGCATGGGGTAGCACTTTAATTAGCTTAATATTTGTAAAAGTATTTAAGAGCCCTTTCTGAGACTTCATCTTGCATAATATAGACATCATAATATAGCCTATAGAAAGATATTCCTCTTGAATATCTTTCTATGGGCTTATATTTGGGATGTGAAGATGTCCATTTCCCATGAAACTTATCACAAATTGGACCACTACTGCCCTTTACTTTTCAATAAACTATATTGAAAATTACCATAGTAGAAACTCATATGAAAAGTGGTTGGTCGCCTGGTGTACTGAGTGTGGTTCACATCTTTGGGTGCCTGCCGTTGTATAGTCTAGGGCATTTCACTGTATCATGAGTTAGACCTGAGCTCAGCATGTTTGCTCTCTGGAGATCCTGATAGCGGGGATGCCATCTCCATGGCAGTCTTGGAAACACGTAATGCTTCACAGGCAATTGTGATATGGAACACTTGTCTTCTAGGCCTCTTCATTCCCAGCTCACATATACACTCACCTCTCCTTCACTTACCCATTCATTCATTCATGGAACACATGCCAGCCATGAGGGATCAGAACTGAGTAAGCCTCTCTTCCTGCTGCCAAGGAGCTCCCAGAACAGTGGAGGGGATGCACATGAAACAGACTGCAGAAGCCACTGGGTGGGAACCTCCCTGAGCCATCGCCAAGAGCAATGGGTAACATAGAGGGTGAAACTCTAATTGCACTCTGGGGATTCCCATCTTCATGGGGGCAGTCATGCACAATCTGAGCCTCAAATGAGCAGGAATGGACAGGAGAGGTAAGCATGTTACAAACTGCCTGAACACTGACAGGAGAGACGATGACACTTGTGGACTGCTGCTTGGGTAGGTATCCCTGGGAAGGCGAGGCAAGATAAGGGGCCTGAATCCAGGTGCTGCAGCTGATGTAGGATGGCTGCATTCACTAGGTCCTGAGCAACCTTTGCTGGACATGAAAGATTTTAAAATTAGAAGCTCTTCTTTGGTGAAAGAAATAACTAAGATAAAAAGGGTGCCAGGTGTGGTAGCTCACGCCTGTAATCCCAGCAGTTTGGGAGGCCAAGGTGGGTGGATCACGTGAAGTCAGGAGTTCAAGACCAGCCTGGCCAACATGGTGAAAACCCCTGTCTCTATTAAAAATACAAAAAAAGTAGCTGGGTGTGGTGGCACATGCCTGTAATCCCAGCTACTTGGGAGGCTGAGGCAGGAGAATTGCTTGAACTCGGGAGACACAGGTTGCACTGAGCAAAGATCGTGTCATTGCACTCCAGCCTGGGCGACAGAGTGAGACTCTGTCTCAAAATAAATAAATAAAATAAAATGAAATAAAAGTGGAAAGTTGCTTATTTTGATCAATAGAGGGTGTCATTACAGAAGCAGTGCTTATTCAATGATAATTAAATAAATGTAATATCTATCTCCAGTGTTACAGAAAGGCCACCAAAGTGCCCCTTACCTTTCAAAGGCTTAGAGTCTAAATGGCTATTTTCCCACCAAAACCCCAGAGCTATTTCCTCCTTTACCCTGTGTCTCTGTACTGAATGCATCTTTTACTTCTGATCAGTGTCCGTGACCATGAATGAGCTTCCACCTTAGACTTCCCACGACTGCATATGTCCACCGTGGCTGACAGATGTGGGGCTCCCTCTTTGGGGCTAACGCTATTTCTCCTTCTTTCTTTCTCCTTACACAAAACAGATATTCTGAATTTTATGCCATAAATAAAGGCATGTTATATGTAACATATTGTCCTTTACATATACTTAAGATTTCGTGTAATAGTGTCCAATTCGATTGAATCAGTGGTGTCCTTTAAAAGCTCATTATATAAACAGGCCGATGTGAAATGCTAAGCTGGTGACAGGGCAGCCCCAACCTCATTAGTCAGTTAGATCACCGGCAAGTCTGCCTGCTGACAGGCCATGCCACAAAGGCCCACTACAGAGATAGATTGCACTCCTCCATGAACAATGTATTCAGTCGATTCACAATCTAATGAGAGCCAGGCTTCCTTTTAATAGTCCCACAACATTTCACCCTTTGGCACTAAAGAGAAATTTAACTGCAATGCACTGACTTTTGTGGCTGCTTTCTACAGAGAGAGAAAGGATACAATGCCTTTTAAAGCCTCAGAAGTTTCCATTTTTAGTTATAAGAGCTAGATCCTCTGTGGACAGACACCTCTCTCATGCAGGACCCAAAAGATCCAAAAAGCTTTTGAGGCCACAGTAATACCTGGTCTTTTTCAGGGCAAAACACGAGAGAATGTGTAAAGCTAGTGGGTAAAACTTCACAGTCTTCAATTCAAGACAGAGTGAGTCAGCATTCCATTTGTAGAGTGGCGGGAATGCGTGTGGGGTTATGGCTTGCTGAGCGTCTTTATTCTACAATGTGTGTGATGCTCGCAGGGGGTGGATGTGCTTACAAAGACCAATGACACCACCTCCCACACTCCTCGGCCTGCACTTTCTATGCAGCTAAACAGTCATATCACGCTGCCCGCTGGAAACACAACTCATTGGCTGCGGTTGAGAAACGCTGACACAAAGGGGCTCGCTGCATTAACGCCCGTAATACCAAAGGTGGTATCCGCCCCAACAATGAAAATCCATTTTTGTTACAGAGGCTGGTCATCTTATGAAAGAACCCATACTAGAAGGAAAACAAACAAACAATCAAACAAACAAACAGATGCAATGGTTAGAAGAGGTGTGTGATGTGAAGACCTTATTGTAGTTGTTGGCTGCCCTCTTCTCCCAGTGACGCCACAGAAAAAAAACGGTGAGGAAAGAGACAAGAAAAAAAATCACATGCCATGAGAGAAATTCAGAGCGGGGATAGTTAATGCAATGTTACAGAACTTTTGATTCGATAATAACGTTCTGGATGAAACGGAATTTGGCCTAAGACAGAGCCATCTCCAAGAGCACATTCAGGAGGATGACTAATGCCATGGCCCACCAGGTCAGGGCCATGCTACTGACCTGAAGGCCATGGAACAGTGGTGGTTGGTGATGAGCTTGCTCCAGAATCAACACTGCTTCCTTACTTGAGAAAATTTGCTATGGAAACCATGGCTGTTGAATGAAACGATGTGCTTAGTGATGCAATTGTTTACACTGTGGCTCAAGCTTTCTTTCTCTCCCAGCTACTTCCAACAAACACTAAAGTAACCAGCAGCCAGTCTGCCTCTATGGGCCACACATGGGGTAGCACTGCCCTGGGAGTCAGTGGATTCAACAGCTCACTTCACTGGCAAGAAAATTTAGGGGCTTTCTTGAGAACACATCTAGTTAGTGGCACAGTGAGGACTTGGCCTGTTTTCTGCCACCTCGGTGGACTGTCTGCCACCGCATGCTTTGCCATTTAAAAAAAGCAATTTGAAAACATTTTTGCTGGGATGAAATGAGAGCATGCAGTCAGGGACATCAATTTTACTATTTCTGTAGAGACCACTGCTTAGACCTTGATCAAGATTCAAGGAAGAAAAAAAAAAAAGATACAACCACTTTATTCTCTGAGACACAGAATTTGCTGTAAAAGTATTCAAAATGTGGATACAAATACTGCATTTTAAGAAAAGGGCTTTCAACTTAATTTTGAAAAAATAAAAGTTTTGTAAAATTCGAGAGTCTTGGTGTCATAACACTGAACAGGAGTGAAGGGCTCGCCCTGGGGGGAAAGCACCGAGAATACAAATGTTTGCTGAGTTTACCTTCCATGTGACCCTGATGCTCTGAGATGATATAGGCTCCAGGTGAACTTCCTGAGGTGGACCATCAGGAGCTGTAAGGACCAAAAACCCACAGGCAGGTTAGAGACGCTTTCCGGAGCAGATCGAAGCCTACACAGCCAAAGGTGGTCCCCGAGGACAACCCATCCCTATGTTTGGCACAGAGAAAGAAGTTTTTAGCGGTCATGGGAAATGTCAATTTTGTAGAATTACTGTGTCCAACTCTAGGCCTTTGTTTATTTGCTCTTTGGAAACATGAATCTTGGGGACCTATCATGGTATTCCTTCTCACCATGTCTTTGACAACCTCGTGAATCAATCCCAATTTTGAACAAGGGGTACAACAGAAAGTTGCAAAACAAAATTTCCCTTATGAAATGCTGTCTATGGTGTGTATTGAAGGTCCTTCTCTCCCCGCTGGAAGCTTTGCTTAGTGATGTGGTATTGGGGTTTCTCAATTGATTAGAATGACTTCGGGCAAAAATAATCAAGATTCTTCTGCCTTTGGGTGTCTTTCATGGCTTTTGTTCTTCAATTAAAAACCCTTGTGGCCGGGCACGGTGGCTCACGCCTGTAATCCCAGCACTCTGGGAGGCCGACGCGGGCAATCACGAGATCAGGAGATTGAGACCATCCTGGCTAACACGATGAAACCCCATCTCTACTAAAATACAAAAAATTAGCTGGGTGTGGTGGCATGCACCTGTAGTCCCAGCTACTCGGGAGGCTGAGGTAGAATTGCTTGAATCCAGGAGGCAGACGTTGCAGTAAGCCGAGATTGCGCCACTGCACTCCAGCCTGGGCGACAGAGTGAGACTCCATCTCAAAACATAAACAAACAAAAAACAACAAAAAAACCCTTGTGAACCAGGGGCTCTAGCCACAGAGTGCTGAAGCAATGTTAAAGAGGAAACAAAAGTGTGCAATTTAAAGCAACCTATTTCTGCTGAGTGTGCAATAAGTCAGTGGGCCAATGAGAGACAATCCCAATTACAGGGGGCCAATGAGAGACAATCTCAATTACAGGGAGCCAATGAGAGACAATTCCAATTACATCCCAGTTAGAGCTGATAGGCATGTGTTGGAAATGTGCTACCTACTAGGTACATGGTGTAGAACTAAGAGATGTAAAACATTTTGCCAACCAAGAGTTCAGAATGTAATCAGAGCTATGAGATACACACACTGAAAGAAGGTTGCAATGCAAGGCAGCAGGAAAACAGGTGTCTTCTGAGAAGCAGAAGCAAATGACGACACAGAGATCAGAGGGAAAGAATCCTTTAGATTAAAAAATGTTTTTGGATTGACAATTTTTAGATCACTGCAGAACTACAGAAAGCCAGTTCTGTGGACATTTGCAAAAGGTTGTATGGCACACGGGAGATAAGAAAGCTGAAGTAGTGGATATGAACTCATTTTGGGGAGTTTGGAAGTAATGGGAAAAGTAAAGCTATCTTATAGATAAAGGGTAGATTTGGGGAAGCGCATGACTAAGGGAAAGCTCCCTTCCTTTTTTATAAAGGAAGAGGAAGTTCTGAGTAGTAGCATGATGTAGTTGCTAAGTTGATGGGCCATTTGAGTTTTTTCTGTCCAAGTTCACATTCTGGTTCTATCACTTGTTGGCTGTGTGCTTTTTCTGCGGGTTACTTAGCTTGTCTGTGACTCCATTTCTCTCTATATATAATGGGCCAATGGAATTTGTATCATAGGGTTGTTATGAAAACAATGTGCTCAGTAAATATAAGAAATCATAATCATAATATAATTATCATTAAGTGTTTGTAAATAGGGGGAAGCAAATGGGAGAAATTTAACAACAACAACAAAAGGTAAACTTGAAGGAATAATGAATGTCCTGGCAGAAACTGAAGAGGGCAGAAGATACAGGCTATGGAGTGAGTGGGGCAAAGGAACAAATACCTCTGGGATGGGAGGAGGGCAGAGCGACGGGAGGCCTTAGGTAGGCTTACTGGTTGAGGGAAGCCAGGTGAGGGCAGACACAGGTAAACTTACTGGTTGAAAGAAGCGGGTTGAAACCTGATTGTTGCTTTTCTCAACAATATGACAATAAGCCAAGCAGGAAATCAGAATGGGAACATGAAGGAGAGAGTTATGGGCTTTGGAACAAAACAAAGTCTTGGAAAATGGCTATGGTCTATAGAAAAGGGTGCACCCTGTGTCTTAGGGCACTAAGGCGCTCTATCAAGGTGCCCCTCCCCAGGAGTCAGTGCTCTAAGATGCAGGGATTGCTACTCCAAGAGGATAATGGGACTCCACAGCTCCGTCCTCGCACTGAGGACCAAGCAGGAAGCTGATTCCGCAGGTCAGGGCTGGCGGGACTGGGAGAGAATGATACTATAAGAATGCCAAGAAACGAAGCCGATTCTCCAGCATATGTGGTTTGTTATGGTTTAGAAATATGAGTTTGAAAGGAAATGGGGACATTGCGGCCTCGATTTTCCAGTTAAGATGTACTTATAATTAAAACAAAGGTGTTAAAAGACAAGAGCTGGAGAGAGAGGAGGTGGGGGTTAGGTCTCTGGGCTGTTTGTTCCCTGCACCCCTCCTTCACACACTTGCTGATGCTGTCCCTGACATCTGATCCAAATGGCCCCTGTCCTATGCTTTCTCCACCATCGTCCTTATGGGGATCCCTATCTCTCACTCTGATACCCCACTCCCACCCCACTTCTATGCCTGGTGACAGTTTCTATTTAGTTCCTAAACATTAATTCTGGTCTCTATTGTACTCTTTTAAAAGGGACATGGCCCCAGAGCACAATTCACACTGTTCACCCACCCTAGTAATTTTCTGCTCCCAGAAGGCACCTCGCCGTCCTCTCCACGCTTTCGTTCCGCGCACTCCCTATGCACCCTGTGTCCCAGCCATGTCCAAAACACACGGGACCCCTGGGTAGAGCCGAGCCTTTTCCCTGGGGCTTTCTTCTCCCTCCATCAGGGTTTGCCGCCCATGCCTGTGAGCCTCCCGCTGCAGCTGACACCTGCCTAGGCCTGGGGACCTGTCCCTGTAGTGTGCATATATGTTTGCGTGTCTGTCTTTGCATGTCTCTGGTCACCCAGCAGACTCTACATGGCACCAGGAACTAAGCCCAGAGTGAGTCCTTGCTTTGAATGGGTAAAGCAATTTGTAGATGCTGAAATGCTGAGCATGCATCCCTCTCCTCAGCAGGTCCAGGGACAGCTGGCAGTCTGGAGTGCTACAGCCTCTCAGATCTATTAGTTCCAAAAATGCAAAGGCTCTGCTAGAACTGAAGTTAAAGTCCAGAACAGGAGCCGAGGGAGAGAATGGCTTCCAGCTAATGGTGATGATTATTGTTGAGCCTCTGCACCCAATTTCTTGCACATGGGGTCAAGCTCTTAGGCAGGAAACTTTGGACCTCAAATTCAATAAAAACTCATGGAATGGATTTCCCTCACACACAGATAATTCTGTGCTCATTGAAAAGCACACGGTTTTCCATAAAAATCCTTGAAAAATGATTTTTGAGTCTGACAGCTATACTGAGGCTGGGTTACTTTAATTTAGTTACACTTAACTGAATTTGACAAGAAGCCAGTTTGTTAGGA
Source organism: Homo sapiens (assembly GCF_000001405.40). NCBI lineage: Eukaryota > Metazoa > Chordata > Mammalia > Primates > Hominidae > Homo > Homo sapiens. The sequence continues at coordinate 310,478 of NW_025791814.1, forward strand.
ATTGGAGGCAATGTCAGGAGCACTGTCTCATCCTGAATCCTCTGGGCTCCCTGGGGCATGGCCTTTGGTGTGGTCCTCTCAGGAAGATGGCACACAAGAGTTGCAACCTTGATTTTCCAGTTGAGATATATTCATAATTAAACCAAAGGTGCCAGCATAGTGTTTACAAGAATGTCCCCAATTCTATCAGATAGCATACATATCATAATGTAATCATGAATTGGGAGTAACTTACTTTTCCAATCTGGTCTGGTATTTATTTTATTTTTCTTGAGACAGGGTCTCACTCTGTCGCCCAGGCTAGAATGCAGTGGCACTATCTCGACTCACTGCAACCTCTACCGCCCAGGTTCAAGCTATTCTCCTGCTTCAATCTCCCAAGTAGTTGGGATTACAGGTGTGTGCCACCACGCCTGGCTGACTTTTGCATTTTTAGTAGAGATGGGGTTTCGCCATGTTGCCCAGGCTGGTCTCGAACTCCTGGCCTCAAGTGATCCGCCCGCCTCAGCCTCCCAAAGTGCTGGGATTACAGGTGTGAGCCACCATGCCAGGCCCAGGTCTGGTATTTTATGAAGGTCCCCACTGAAGAGGAGAGGGGGTACAGTTCTTGTATCCAGGACAGACTTAACTGTTTTTAAGAATGTAACAGCTTTATTACTTAGCCTACCAATGCTGCCATGATTTGTCAGTAATGTATTTATTGTTCTGCCTGTTCCCTGAAGTGAAAGCATTTGGATCCCTCCTCCTAAAAAAAAAAAAAAAGTGATGAAAACAGTCCAGACAAACCAAAATAATTTAATTTGTACAAACACACAATAGGGCTATGTCCAATATCATTAGGAAGGTTTTTTGTTTGCTTGTGTTTTACAAAGGGCACTAAATTTTCTACTATGTTTCTAAAACATTACTTTAAAAATTTTTTAAATTATAAAAAATTTCCCTTCTTTAAGAATTTTATTGCTTTCTGTATAACTCCTGAGCTGTAATTTTTTCATAGGTTATCATCTCATTGCCAATGATGCCTATAAAATTACAGTCCAAAGCCGATTGAGTTTCCAATGCAAAATGTATTAAGGGTCAAAAATTAGGTATATCCATTTATTTAACTAAATTTGAAAATTGTGTTGACATTGGAAATTTAAGAATTTACTTACATGGTTTCAAATGTAATATATAGAAAAAGCAGAATTGGCTTCCCCACTTTGGAAGCCAAAGTGGGCAGATGACCTGAGGTCAGGAGCTCAAGACCAGCCTTGCCAACATGGTGAAACATGGTCTCTACTAAAAATACACAAATTTGCTGGGTGCAGTGGTACATGCCCATAATCCCAGCTACTGGGGAGGCTGAGGCAGGATAACCGCTTGAACCCAGGAGGCGGAGGTTGTAGTGAGCTGAGATTGTGCCATTGCACTCCAGTCTGGGCAACAGAGCAAGACTCCATCTCACAAAAAACAAGTGATTTTACAAAATAAACTCTGCATTTCTAAGAAATCCAAAACTCTTCGATCTGTAAAGCAGTAATAAGCGAAGACTATCTTTATAATTTGTATTATGTTTGCAAAGGTAAAAGTCAGGACAATTCATTCTGTTTGGCTGAAAACACAGGGATGACAGGCACCTCCTGATTGCCAAACGCATGGATCTCCGCTTTGCTTCCCTGTCCTGATCCTTCCTGGCTACGCTGTCTCTGCTTCTGTCCCTCCCCAGCTGGACAACCTCCCACTGCCCAGCAGCTCCTGTGTCCCTCCCAGAGCTGAGACTCAAGCCTCGGTGCTCCATTCTGCTCCAAAATACTCTCCTCCCTGTCTCAATATCTTGGCTTTAGCCAGCATCTTGGGGCCTCATCATTAATTGATATGGGCTCAATCACCCCAGTGAGAACCAGTCCCACATTTTTGCCTCTGGTTCTGATTGGGAGATTTGCCTTCTATGTGCCAGGTCCTAAACTAGGCAAAGACTGGGATACAAAAGCAGAAAAAAATATATAAATTTTTAAAAAGTAGTGAGGAGCAGCTGCATAATTCTACAAACACACGTTTGTCTTCTACAGGAGTTGGGTGGGTGGGCGAGAGGCATGCTCTGTGTTGGACAAAGGGAACCAAGACAGTATTTAGTAAAAATCAAAATACGACAAAGAATAGCTGGTGCCCAGATGGGGAAAGGCTGAAGTCATGTAATAACTACTTATTAAATAAATGGCTGATTTATTTAACCTACTTATTTAATTAGCACATCCTATGTGCTAAACACCAATCTAGGTGCCTGGGATACAGCAGTGAGTGAGCAGAACAAGCAACTCCACCTGCCCTGGTGGGATGGGATCAAAGCAGACCATAAGCAAAATAAATCAACAACTTATACAGTACACTGGGTGCTGATACAAGCGACTGCTAGAAGGAGAGTGGTAAGGGAGGCAGGGGACCCAGTGGAGTGGGCAGTGGGTTGAATTTTAATAGGGTGGCCAGGATTGGATTCTTGGAGAATAATATTTGAAAGTGGTAAGGGAAGAGACGAAGAACATTTCAGAACATTCCAGAACTGTTCCAGAACCTTTCAGGATAGCAGACAGGGGTATACACAATGTGTATGAGGGACAGCAAGAAGGCCGATAACTTTCTTTAGATTTAATTCCCAAAGTTTCTTCAAACCCAGGATGGAGGAGAATGACAAAAATCTACAGAGGCAGATCGCTGAGGGCCTGGTTGGTCATGGGGTGTGCTCGGCTCTTCTCGCTGAGTGAATGCTGTGCATTTGACTCTTACTGAAGAACACATTGATGCCGCCCTCTGCACTAATGAGCACTGCTAGCCCTGTGTTTGCTTCACATGCTCCTGACTTTTATTCCTTCTGCCCTCATTCCATCCTCTCCCCTCCACCCCAGCTCAGCACATAGGAAACTCTTCTTCCAGATCACAGCTGCTGCCCCGGAATGGGAGGAAAGATGAGGCAAGGACTTAACTCAGTGCCAGATTCATTGGAAACCCAGTGACTCTGCATCATGACCCTTCCATAATCCACACCTTCTATTCTCTGATGGTCTGTCAAATTCAGTGGTGTTTCAATGAGCACCCACTAATTGAAGCTGCATGTTCTATGCACAGATTTATAGTGAAAATAATGAAGGGGGCAGCCATCCCAAACTCGGTCACAAGGCACTAAGTGACTCATGACCTGCAGGGGGCAGCTGCTAATGGGGAAGTTGGTCTGTAGCAAGGGTTAGCTGTGAATGTCATGTGTCACGTGGCTGATCCGTGTCAAAGAGACACACTTCGGGTCCATTAACAGCTCATCTCATTAACTCCGACTGTGTCACTTATTCTCTTGACTGCTCCTTTGTTGTGGGGGCTGCTGGTGCTAGGGGTGGTTGGGGAAGCCATGAAGACTGCGCTGAATGGTGTGGTCTTGGCTTCATGGCTATTCTCTGAGGTCGAGTGTATTAAAGTGGTATGATAACGCTTTATGCACTTTCACATGCAACACATGCAAATAAACTGAGTAGTTTGGGGTTGGAGCAATGAGATTTCCCAACATTAGGTAGGGACACTATGCCAGTGGCAGCAATCCCTTCCTCACTAAGCTTTGCAGTAGATACAGCAGAAATCTAAAACTCAAATTCCCATGGTGGCCAGACTTCATCAGAGATCCATAAACATTTCTGTAAAGACTCAGATAGTACAAATTTTGGGCTTTATGGGCCCATGTTATTCTTTTTTTTTTTTTTTAAAGATGAAAAAACTATGCTTAGTTCAAGGTCTGTAGGTGAAGTTTGGCTCACCGACTGTAGTTTGCTGATCCTTCAATGAATGGAGGATGGGAACTATGGCTCACTGAGGGGGTATGGTCAGCCTCTGGGATGGCCACTCCATGCTTAACTCCAGCTCATTGCTGCCAAGCAGGAACTCAAGAGGAACTCAAAATTTAGATTTTCAGCTGAAATTTCCAGATTTTAAAAATTAACATCGAATTTAAAAGTTTCGCACAACACTGAGCCGACTCACATCCACAGGCCTGGTCTGTCGTGGGCTGCAGCTTATGGCCTGGGACATGCCCTATTCCATCAGGATGCGGGGAGGGCACCTCAAGCTCCAGATGCAGCCATTTCATGGGTGGTCACTGGAGCTCTGATGGGGGCTGTATTCTTTCCCCATCTTCTTTCCTCTCAGCCTTCCTGTCCTATCTTTCACCTTTCTCTACTTTTCTGCATGAAGTCCTTGTCTTAGTCTTTTGGGGCTGCTATAACAAAGTACTCTAAACTGCATGACTTATACACCACAGAAGTTTATTTATTTCTGTTTCTTTTTTTGACAAGGAGTCTCACTCTGTTGCCCAGGCTGGAGTGCAGTGGCACGACCTTGGCTCACTGCAACCTCCGCCTCCAGGGTTCAAGCGATTCTCCTGTCTCAGCCTCCCAAGTAGCTGGGATTACAGGCATGTGCCACAATGCATGGCTAATTTTTTTTTGTATTTTTAGTAGAGACGGAGTTTAGCCATGTCGGCCAGGCTGGTCTCGAACTCCTGACCTCAAGTGATCCCCCTGCCTCAGCCTCCCAAAGTGTTGGGATTATAGGCGTGAACTACCGTGCCTGGCTCAGAAGTTTATTTCTTACAGAAATTTATTTCTAGAGGCTGACAATTCCAAGATCAAGATGCCAGATTTGGTGTCTGGTCAGGGCTCATTCTTCTGGTTCATAGATAGTGCCTTCTTCCCATGTCCTCCCGGGGCAGAAGGGGTAAGTGATCTTATTGGGCCTTGGGCCTATTGTATAAGGGCATACTGATGCTATTAATGATGGGTCCACCCTCACTTCCTAAAGGCCCCACTTCTTAATATTATTGCATTAGGAATTAGGTTTCAGGATATTCATTTGAAAGGGAAGGCATGAACATTCAGACCAGGGCACCCTTCAGAATTTCACTGTGGGTTTAATCCAGCATATATTTTCTCAACACACACATACACACACACACACACACACACACACACGCACACACACACACACGCACACACACATACTCTGCTCATTGTGACACCCATTCTAAAGGCAATACTGTGGGTAATGTTTATAAACGTTCATCTCATACTTTCATCTCCCTTATGCCAGACACACACAAGGGACAGAATTGTAAGCACATATGCCCCCTGATGTGGAGGGGGCCACAGCCCCTCCACATCAGGTGGTATATCATCATGGACAGCAGGGTCCATGAAGACATGATGATACACCTCAAAGGCTACTGTCAGCAAAATCCCTCCTCTGTCCTGAGCTGAGTAGTCCCTAACTACACATGGGAGATGGAAAAAGGCATTGCACCAGGGAGGAAGGCATTCTTGAACTTGACTTTTCAAGGAAGGGCACAGAAAAGGAGACATGGAACTTGTAGTGCCTTCAAGACAGGGGAAGAAGCACAACAATAGGGGTCTGGGAGCATGCAAAGGCAGGTGAGTGCTGGGCATTGGGCTCTGGGGAGTCACTAAGTGTCATTGCAAAGTAGTAGCATTGGGGGGCATCCTCGTGTGCCCAAGACTTGGGTACTAGATTACAGTAAAAGTGAGTGGGCTGACAGCTTCCGGAGGCTCCCATATGAGGAATAAGGGAACAGTGGGACAAGGTCACCTCAAGACAGCTACAGCTCCTAAAAAGATGTGCCTTTGGGTTTACCTGCTGGGAAGGGGCAGCAGTGTCTACAGCCCCTGCTCAATACTCTAATGAGGATGCCTTTGGCCAGAGCACCCCATTCTAGGTAAGTCACACATGGGAAATTGACTTTTTAATTTCAGTCATGCAAACCTATGAACCAAGACAAAGACAAGTTATCTGCTGTAGCTTTTCATTTCTAGAACCTGCTCCTTTCCTTCCCTTCCCCTTAGCTCCTCTGAATATTAAAGGAGAGGGGCTGTGTGGGGCTGCCACAGCCAGCACACCCAGATACAATACAAAAGGCCAGCCTGGGAGCCAAAGAGGCAGCATCTGCATCTGTCTGCAGACATGCCAGGCAGCTGCCCTGCAGACCAGCACCCCAGAGGCTCTTCACCTGGCCTTCTGGCAGGGAGAGAGCTGCTTCCATGGCAACTGCCAGCCGCAGCAGAGGTCACAGAGGAAACGAAGAAAAAAGCAACAACAGCAGCATTAATAATGGCAATCAGAAAAGCAGGTGCAAAATGCACCACCGGAAAAATGCTGTTTTCCCGAGGAGGTGGCTGGGATGGGGCGAGATTAGAAAAGGGCTTGAGAGAGAAGGAGAAGATTGAGCAGGAAGTCAGAGATGACATTTTGGGCTGAAGGATGGGGACAGCTTATTCTCCCTAAGTACCCAGCATAATGAAATCTCAGGGATCTGAGGAAGTTAGTGGGTTGTTTACATACATAATTAAATACAATTCTATTTTTTGCAGAAGCAGATTAACACTTATTTCCCACTTATTTCTGAGACATGCAAAGTATTTTCAGAGCTTGAGTTTTTTTCAGTGATCAGATATGTCTGTGTAAGGAGCAGAAAGGCATCATAATGTCCATTTTGCAGATGAGAAATCATACAGAGAATCCAAGTCTCAGAAATGGCTCACTCTCAGGCACTTCAGCCTAAAGATCTTCTGTCACTCACTCTTGAAAACAATTTTCAAGAACTGACATCTTCCAGCATTGAAAAATGGGCATTCCTCTGCAGTTCAGGAAGAGTTGTACATTTTAACCTATTCTCTTGAAGACAACACTGATTACAGATATCAGAAGGGTGAAAATGTTGCATTTGATTGATCCAGCCATCTGACTTCTTAGGATTTAATCTAAGAAAATGATCTTGGAGATAGCAAAAGACATACCACCAGGATGTTCATTGTAGTGGTGTTTATACTAATGAAAACTCGAAAATAATTGACCCGTTTGGCAATATGAGATTTGTTAAACACATAGTGAGAGATATCATTACAAATTGTAGAAAAGTACTTAAGAGATACATAAGCTCCATTTATATTTGGGATGCTGTTAATGAGGGTAGCAGAGATGAGGTGGTGGGAAGGAAGCCAAGATCAACCTCTCTTGAAAGTTGCAACAAACCTCCGGTCTTCTGTTAGCCATCTGGGTGTGGCAATCACCTTAATCTTGGTGATGGAGAAACAGGGACTTGAGACTAAGCTGCCATCTTCCCTGCAGTAGGGAGTGGCTGATTGCTCTGATGGTGGGCAGGAAAAGAAGAGGTAGGTTTGGGAGCTGGACACCCTTTCCCTACAATAAATGGGCCAGGCATGCAATCCTTGTGGATGAAACCCAAGCGCAGTGGCTTCCTCTCCTCCTGCCAGGAGGCGGGCTGACAATCAGCATTCATGGACCATTGCCTGATTGCTCAGTTCTCTGCACACCTGTTAATTTCACCCCCCCGGAAACATGAGTGGCTCGCAGTGTGTTAAGGGGTGTGAATACACTGGTGCGTGCCTGTGTGCATGTGCGTGTGTGGGTGATGAAATTATTTAGCCAGTTATCACTGCCTGTTCCTGGGTTAGCTCTCAGTGGGAAAATGATGGAAGCTGTTTTGCCTTCTCCACAATGCTTATCTCTATCTTCTGAATTTGCAACACTAAATATAATGTTGTTTGTAATAGAAAAAAGAGCAAAAACATTATTTTTAAATATTGATGTTTCTAGTCAATAAAATAATCTGTTCCCCTTCCCACATCTCCCGCACAGTAAGCATGCTTGCAGATTCCTAGTTAAGCATTACTGCTTCCTCCCACACTGGACTTCACAGGGTCTCAGGAAAGAAACACACTCACGGTTCTCCTGTCAACCTGGATTCCATGTGTCCAAACAAAGGAATTGTAAAACGGCATGATTCTTTGAATCTCACCAGATTGTTAGCCTCATACGTCTTTCTTTTAAGTCTTGGGTATGGGAAACTTGAACTAAATCCTATTTGAAGAGCAGTGCCTTCAAAGTAAGATGCAGAGCGCTGTCTGCGTTTTTTATAGGGCACAGAACTACGGAGAGCACGCATCAAAGACCTCCGCCTAGCACGGGCAAAGGTCTGCTTCTGCATTTAAGCATCTGAGCCCTCAAGAGTTAGCTCCCGGGCTCCTCTGGAGCAAGGTTCCGCCCGGTCCCACGTACCTGCCTCGTCCGCCGTGATGGTGAGCTCGTTGCTGGGCTCGCTCTTGCCAATCCGGTTCTTGGCGTACATGCGGATGCTGTAGGTGGAGGAAGGGTGGATATCAATGATGGTGGCCGAGTTCAGCTGAGGGGAAACATCTTTGGTTCTCTGAGCAGAATCCCAGGAGTCTTTTGGGTTTTGTTTTTCAAAAAAGAAGAGATAGAGACGTGAGTTTTTTTCCTCTGCCTTTGAAAGTTCACAAGTAGGAATTAAAAACCAAAAAAAAAAAAAAAAAAAAAAAAAGACGGAAAGAAAGAAAAATTACACTCAAAGTGATTTCTGAATGCAATGTTCCCAGCTTTCTGGCAGAGTTGGCCATCAGAGGGGATGTGACATCCCACACACATTATTCACGCTGCGAGGGACATGGGGCAACAAGCCAGCTGAGTTCAGGGAGGGGTGATGGAGGAAGCACAGATCAGCCGACTGGGGGAGATCTCAGAAGGCAAATTCCAGTGGTGGAAGCTCAGGTTAGTGGAATGGACGATGGCCACTGTAAGCACTCATTGTATAGGACAGTACAATGAACTATGGTTTGGATAGTACCCCTGGGCCCCCCCAAAATCCCTGGCATTTGAAAACCAGCAAAACTTCAAGCCATATCAGATCCTTTCCTCCCCAAATAGAGTGTGGTAAAAACAAGATAATCCCATACAAACCAATCTCAAGTTCCAGAATAAATCCTGATTACCAAACATATTTTTTCAGTTCTATTTTTTGAAATCATTTAGTGCCAAATCCTTGGTTGTAGGAATTATTTTTCAACCACAGCTAATTATAACAGCAGCACCTACTTTGTGTGAAATGTTATCACTGAATCTGTGACATTTTGTATCTGGTGGTTTTCAGGCTTCAAGCAAGGATGAGAATGTCAATACGTGGTTCTTATATCAAAAGAGTTTGGGCAGTTGTTGACTGTAGGTGTGTGGTCGACAGCTGGTATTGGCTGGGGATGAAAAAAGGAGGGCCCAAGACAGTAGACAGAGATGGTGCCTACATATTCCCACCCTCCTCAGGGTCTGCCTTGGTGGTGCTCACCACACAAGTAAGTCTTCCATGGATAATCTGAATCTGTGTTCCCTGCTAGACTTTAAGCTCCAGGAGGGCAGAGGCCATGCTGGCCATACCCAGTCTTTTATCCCTAGTGCTAGCACAGTGCCTGGCTCATAGTAGACAAATAGTACATGAATGTTTAATAGAGGAACAAATAAACCACAAATACATGGACCTCTGAGTCTTGGGAATGGGGCCAATCACTTTGTCACACTAAGGGTGAGTATGGCAGTTTAGGGGACTTCTCTGTCCAGAGTTAAACATAAATGCAAGAGATTTTCTGGAATTGAAGAAAAAATATGTGGCTTAAAGACTGCTTTTGGATACTGTAACTTCTCAGAGAATGAAGCCTAATAGAATCTGACAATGAATATTGCAGTTAGAAGGAAAAAGCATATTTGGGGTCAAGAAGATTAGAGGTGGAAAAACATGAAATACAAAGAGTTGGAAAAAAATTGACAAGGGGAAGAATGGGATTCAATGGAAGACAAATGAGGAGAGGAAATTTTATATCAATGAAACGGCACACACCTATGAGGCTTGTCCCACAGAGAGAAAGCCAGACCTTCTGCAGAGATGTTTAGGAGGATGAGGAGGAATGCCAGGTGCCACAAGATGCAGAGACATTTGCTAAGTAGCCCCTGGAGGAAGTAGGCAGTTGTGGTGGTTGATGCCTCTGCCCAGGCAACATTGAAGTTTCTGAAACTGACGGGGCCAATGAAGATACAGCCATCTTCACTGGAGGCTCTTGTCTGGGAGTTGGCAGGCAGCCTGGAGAGGCATATGAGTGTCCATGACTGCAGTCCCTTACACCAATCCAAGGCATATGGTGGACCTGGGTAGGGTGGGGACAGTCCCCTCTTGGTGGTCACTGGGCACCTCCACATCCATGCCCTATAGGTTCCTTTAGCTCAGCCCCTATCTCAGTGATGTCACCTTGTTCAACAGTCTCCCAGTGTGACTTATAAATCCTCTCTGATGCTGCGTTTGCACCCTGTCTGTAGCAACTACCACTAACTCCCTCCAATGGGCTGGGGGACCCGTTACAAAGCCCATCCTCACCCTCCTGTCCGTGGCCTTCCCAGACTCTCCCCAGTCACACTTGCCACTTTTCAGATCTTGGATGTCCATGCATACATTTCTGTTTGTGTTTTACGCCTAAGAACTTTTTTATTGGGTCAATGGTGCATTCTTCCTAGTTATATTTATATCTCAATTTTCAGTTTCCTCCTCCCATCAGGTCAATGTGCTGGGCATTTTCAAACGTGACTTCTGTGGCCCCAAATCTGTGGGCACATTGGAAACACCTTGGGGCTTTTTGATAATTCTGCTTTCAGACCTACCAAACCAGAGTCTCTGGGGAATGGTGCCCAGAAACCTGTGCTTTTAAAAAGGCTCCCTATCTTGGTCATTCCGATGTATAGTTTGGACAGACTGCTTCATTTGATTAAAATTGTACAACATCCTGTCAAGGTAAGGTTTTTATTTCCTTAGTGAAAGTCAAGAAACTCAAGCCCTGTTACATAGCTGGTAACAAGAAGGGCTGGGATTTGGCCTCGCCTGTGTTATCTCCAAGTTCAAGGTCATTTTTCTGTAATGCATGACCTCCACATACTCTCTGAAAACACCTAATAAGACAGGATTTTGATATTTCCGGGCACCTGCTGAAAATCTCGTATGCCTAGAAGAAGACCTTCTGGCAAATTATTGACTTGACAATGCACAGAAATCGTTTGGTCAAATGTAAGAGAAGAAAACTTTGGCCAAGAATGACTGTACCATCTGTGGGTTTGTAGGAAGACTGAGAGGGCTGTATAGGCTCGGAGTTGCAGCCTGGTTTAGGAAGATGTCAGAAGCATTCACGAAAGAGTGGGCGGGATGCCATGGCTTGCTCCAGGGAGACTGGTGGTGTAGGAGGATGGGGCAGTTCAGAGTCCCACTGCAGCCTCTGTGAGGTGAGGAAGGAGTGAAGAGCTGACAGGAGCCAGTGAGACTGCGCTGGGTGCTTGCTGGGGAGCTCGCCTTGGGGGTCAGATACCCCAAATCCAGTGGATGCAAGAGCAACAAGGACTAATATAAGAGAGTGGACTTGGTATGAAGAAGTGCTGTTAGAGGCTAAAGACCAGAATGAGTGAAGGTGACTGAAAGTTCTGGAGGTGAATTACATGAAAGGTTTAACAATGGAGAGGTAGCTGGGAGAGGGAGCGGGCCCTTCATGTTGGTGAATAGGAGGAGGTGTGGGGACACAGGAGAGCCCCTTGTTCTCTGTCTTATTCTTCTCAAGGATAACAGTCCTCAGGGTGAACTAGGGGTGGGAAGACCAAGAGAGGAGAGGGGTTGGGGTGTGCACCTTCTGTGTCAGAGTCTGTGTTTCCTGGTTACCTTTCAGGGTGTGACAGAGCTTGCCATGGTGCTGAAACCTGGTCAGAGACCTGTGAGCCACCACGGACAGGAGGGAGGGACAAGAGAAACTGTGGACAGGACGGAGGCACCGGAGAAACTGTGGACAGCAGAGGCCAACAGAGAAACCGTGGACAGGAGGGAGGTACCAGAGAAACTGTGGACAGGAGGGGCCAGCAGAGAAACCGTGGACAGAACGGGCCACCAGAGAAACCGTGGACAGGAGGGGGTTACCAGAGAAACCGTGGACAGGGGGGGGTTACCAGAGAAACCGTGGACGGGGGGGGGTTACCAGAGAAACCGTGGACGGGGGGGCTACCAGAGAAACCGTGGACGGGGGGGGGTACCAGAGAAACCGTGGACAGGAGGGGGGTACCAGAGAAACCGTGGACGGGGGGGGTTACCAGAGAAACCGTGGACAGAACGGGCCACCAGAGAAACCGTGGACAGGAGGGGGCTACCAGAGAAACCGTGGACGGGGGGGGTTACCAGAGAAACCGTGGACAGAACGGGCCACCAGAGAAACCGTGGACAGGAGGGGGTTACCAGAGAAACCGTGGACGGGGGGGGTTACCAGAGAAACCGTGGACAGAACGGGCCACCAGAGAAACCGTGGACAGGAGGGGGCTACCAGAGAAACCGTGGACAGGAGGGGGCTACCAGAGAAACCGTGGACGGGGGGGGTTACCAGAGAAACCGTGGACAGGAGAGGCAACAAGAGAACCTGCGGACAGGAGATGGCCCCCACAGGAACAGACTCTGAAGGGCAGGCTGCCTTCCAAGGAAGGGAATAAAGGGAGGCAACAAACTGCAGACGAATCTGCTGGAGGTCCCCAGACAATATGCTCGAAGGGATGTTAAAGGTGGCCTTGGGTCCTTGTAGGGGAGAAGCAGTAGTCCCTGGGAATCAGAAAATATGGCAACCAAGGCAACCTGTGTAATTGCCACCTATGGGAGAAGAAGAATGTTCCAGATAAGGAAGGGACAGCTTCACTGTGCCTGTGCCCGCTCAGATGACGCCTCTGGTGCTGCCACTGGGCATGACCAGAGTTAGGGGGGCAGGAGATGATGACAGGAGATACAATAACAAGGACTTGGGGTGTTCAGTGTTTCCTGGAAAAGAGTAAACCAAGGAAAGTCATCTGTTGTCAAATCCTGGGAGGACTGTCATTTGGCCAAAGGGTTAAGAGGTGGGAGGAGAGACACTGGATCCAGGAAGGTCTATTTTGGTGCAATAAATGTAAGAACTTGTAGCAGTCACAGCTGGCCAAAGGCAGAGCTGTGCTCCCTGGGTTAGTGAGTTTCTGTTTCTCGGATTGTTCAAGCATAGAGTGAATGGTCACTTGCAGAAGTTCTTTCTGTTACGAATGTGAAGTACTTTAATACATTGGTTATATGCTGCTTTCTTTGAAAATTAATGAAAAGGAAAGGAAAACTTTTGGGGGGATAATTTCACCGTTGCCTAAAACAGATGTTGAGAGTCAACAATTTGACTAATGGTTATTATGAGTCTCGTATACATGTCAGGCACTATGAGGGGCACAGGGACATAGCATAAGGTTTGTCAGAGACAATTCCAGCCCTCAGGGCTCACTATGGCCCATAGGGGGACAACTGTTCAGTGGGGTGCAGATAGTAAATTAATAGTCACAAGCCCACCAAGTGTTCCAAGACATGCTATGAATAGTGAAGGGGAATAGGTAGTCAGGGAAGGCTTCCTGGAAGAAGTGACATTTAGGCTGTTATTAATACTTGAAGGATCAGTTTTCTATGTACTCAGTCTAAAACTACACTCACTTAAATTATGGTTGTAATTTTTATACACCAAAAATTTCTGGAGGAAGAAACTAATACATGAAAAATCTGACTAACACAACTCGTACAGCAGTGAGTACAGGTGCTATCTACTCTCAGCACAGCTCCTTCCTCCCAGGGCTTCCAAACTGAAAGTAATTGAAGTTCTGTAGGGTCCTGGTAGAGACCTTGGTCATGGACTTGGATCTGCTTGTCCTGTGGGCTTTTCTCCTGGGACCCATGCTGCCCCTTAAAATGACTTGCTCCAGGGCTACATAAACATCTTAGCCACACCACTGGCCCTGTCTCTGGTTGAAGTAGGGCATGAAGGATGGAAAAGAGTATCCCTCAATCCCGCCTGTACTCAGCTTTATAGACAAGGAGCTTTCCTGCTTTGGTTATATAAACCATGATCAATTTATACATTTAAAGATGCTGTTGATAATAATGATTCTTAGATTTCAATTGCATGTAAATTAATGCAATAAACATTTACAGTATGCTCTTCACTTGACATTGTGCTGGGTGCTGGGGATCCCAGGACACAGAGAACCAGAGTCCCTGCCTTTGGGAAACTCCTGGGTAAGAGTAGGGAGATAGTGAGGACACTTAGATGCTGAGTAAGTAGTTTAACACAGAGGGTTTTAGAGGCATTTTACTCCTAAGTATTTTCCTGCATGCTGGAGCAATCTACAAGCTACCACCTATTAGATGTTGAGTATGCTCCAGACAACGAGGAAGGCGTTTTCAATGTCTTCCCTTCTTAGAGTTCACCAATTTCCATTGAGTGTCTCCACATGTTGGGTGCGGTGCTGGGTGTTGGAGAAATGAGCTGGGTGAAAATAGACCTACTAGGTGCAGGGAGCCCCCAAGGAGCCTCTAGCGTGGTGGAGGTGAAATGCATTAATCAGCATATTTGTCAGTAATCATAGAGATACATATATAGTGACCCATAATGCCACCTGCCCAGATTGAAAGGGAGAAGGAGCTGGGTGAGCACCTGAGAATTGAGATCTATGGAGGGGGTAGTAACTGGGTGGCTCAGGGAAGGGAGGACTCCAGGCAGAGGGCAGCTGGTGGCCTTTGTGGTCTCCTTGCCAGTCCTTTGAGGTGGATGCAGCAGTGCCCACTTCACAGGTGAGATGCGCAAGCGAGGGTGCAGAGCTGGTGCAACGCAGGCCCAGCAGCGAATCCCACACAGGCTGGGTCCCAAATCACTGAGCCCAGGCCTGCCACCAGCATCCGGCAATGCCCGCTCCTCCATGAGGACAGGGGAGGTCCTGGGCTGCTCCAGTAGGAGAGGTCTCCTGTGTGCTCCCGCACCAACAGCATGGGCAGCCTGCAGCCCCATAGCCAGTGCGCAGCCAGTGAGATAAAGGGCTGTCCCTGTCCCCACGGTGCTCACTGCATCTGTCTGAGCTCTCATCACTGTCACTAAGTTCCAGGACAGTTTCTGCTCAAATGTGCCTGCCTCACCTAAGAAGCATTTGCTTCACTTCAAGACCTGTATACATGAACTTGTAAGAAAGGCAAGGTCAGCCTCTCCTCCCTGGGCCCTTGGGAAACCTGTTGGTCCTAGTCCCCAAAAGATGCTTGTTCAGCTCAGCACTGTCTTGGGTGAGCCCCCCAGGTCACTGTGCCTCACCCCTGAGCCCAGGGCCCTGGCTCTGCAGCATTTCTTGGCTACGGTGAGACTTGCAGTCCAATCAACCCCGGAAGGCCCTTCCTCAGACTTTGTGTAAGTGACACCTCACTTCTAGGCCCCCAGTTGCAACTCAGAGGCCGATGACCTGAGCCATTCCATCTTTCCTCATGTGCATTTCCAACCCAGCAGTCACAGATACTACTTTTCAAAACACTATTTTTTGTTTTGATCCATATCTTCTCAATCTTCAAATTCTGTTCTCCTGAATTCCCGAAGAGTCACCCCTCGGCTTGCCTTTGCAGTCACCATTTCCTGGCTCTGTTCCTGGCTTGCTCTTGCTGAAACATTTCCTCACTCCTGACCTGTGGTTCCCAGCTGCCTTGAGCTTGATTTTTTACTACAGCTTTAGTGCCAAAGATATTAGATGGGTCACAACTGGGTAATCTGAAATAACGTGCGGTATCCAGGAAGTGAAAAATAAAGCTGCTTTTGCGGCCTAGAAGGATTTTATTAACCCTTCCCATGCTGGTGGTGCTCGAATTCCTCATATCTTTTATGAGACACAGTAAAAATTCTGACTAGAGGCCACTGTGGTGGTATTCTACCCTCGCCCAATGCATCATAAAGTTCAAAATGGCCCGGGCATTGTTCCTTGAAGGCAATGAATGGGCACACCTGCAGCGGCCCTGGCAGCAGGGTCAGTTTTATTTATGGGCTCTGGGCCGAGTGGTCCTGGGTGCAGCAGCCAGTGTCGCCGATGGTCCCTGAGCATTTCCAGGAGGTTGCTCCAGAGTGAATTTTCCTTTTTCTGCACCAACCACCACTGCACAGTTTATCCGACCAACACCAAGCACAGCTTGAGCTCAACGCTCTGGGTGCAGGACATGGGCTCAGGCTCTACAAAAGTCACCCAGCTCGGGAAACGGGAAGTGAAGGGAGCAGGTGAAATAGAAAAGGTCATGGTGGGGGCCTGTCTCCATCAGCCACTGCCCACATGCCAACAGGAAGCTGCAATATCAAGGAGTCCAGCAGGAAGCAAGACTGAAGTCTGGGCTGGCTAAAAAAGAAAGAAGCAGAGCTGAGCCTCAACACGAAACTCCACTCCCACAGCAGAAAGCCAGGATGTGCTTCCAGCAAGGAGACTGGGGGAAGTGGTGCCCTCTGAGCTCCTGTGAGCTGAGCTGTGCGCTTACAGGTAAAACACATTAATAAGGAGAAAAATAAAAGAACTTTCTGAGGTGGAAGGGAAGCTGGAGGAAGTAAAGAACTTACCTGATTTATTTTTGCATTCAATATCGTAGCCTGTGATGGGACTGTTTCCATCAAACCCCATGGTCCACCTGAGCGTAATTGTGCGTGCTTTGACATCTTTGATCTCAATTTCGGGAGGGTCTGGGGGCTCTGTGCCATCAACAGAAAGACTACGAGTTAGTTCAAACAGAGCTCTGACATAAAACGCTAGTGGAAATGCTGAGCGTGACTCACAAACGATTTGTCTGCATTAGACAAGAACAGAAGCTTTTTATTTGGAAGCATTTTCTTTTTCCTAATCACATTTTAGGGAAGAGAAATTCCACTTTCCCAAGACTTCCAATTTTCATAGCCC
This sequence comes from Homo sapiens, assembly GCF_000001405.40. Classification (NCBI taxonomy): domain Eukaryota; kingdom Metazoa; phylum Chordata; class Mammalia; order Primates; family Hominidae; genus Homo; species Homo sapiens. The sequence continues at coordinate 327,119 of NW_025791814.1, forward strand.
TTAAGAACTGGACCAAGCCTGGAGGATATAAAATGTCACGATTCTAGTTTGGATCTCTAACTCAAAACATATTTTGGCCCCAAATGTTAAACTTCCCTTTCATTCTGGTCATCTAGTACATGGATTCCTAAAATTGAGCAAAGAAATTCCACCGCTGTACTTGTGTGCATGTGGCTTGACTGTCATGGGCTTGTCATCTTGACTGGTTCCTCTAAGGGCTTCGTTCCCTGTTTGGGGGCTTTACTTTGACATAATCCCAGGCACTGCAAAATTCTGCTTTAGCACTGACATTATACATATTCAAAATTTCCTGGGAATTAGGAAGTGTTACATGGCAAGTTGAGGACACAGAGATGCCTGAGGCTGAGCATACAGCTCCCATCCTGAAATGACTGTGTTTATTCTCTTACGCTATCGTCTTCCTACCTTGCACTGTGAGCTGAATTATTCCACGGTCCTCCCCATAAGAATTAATAGCATGGCAGGAAAAGAAACCAGAATCTTCTCTCACAGTTGGCAAAATCTATGTGTAAAGCAGAAAGAAATTCATCTTTTTCAGTAGGCAAAATGACTTTGAGCCGTAAAGCTCTCTCTCTCCACTCTTTCAGTTCTCCTGCCATGCCAAGCACACACATAGGTACACTCACACACACACACACACACTCACAAAACCCCCATTCCTCCAGACTCACATACTAAATCACACACATGCACGTATCCCTCTGAGGACAAATTATTTCAGTGTAATTGAAAGTAGGCGGATGGATAGGATTCACGTACATTATCCATGTCAGGTGTAGCTCATTAAATTGGATGTGTAATTTATATAAGATGTCGTGGTCAGCTTGACATATATCCCACATATACATTTTTTTTTTCATGGTATCCAAAGCAACCATGCCTAAAGAGACAGATTAAATACTGCAGGCAGGGCTGGGGGCCCGCAAGACTCGCATCAGATTCCTTTTCTAGGAGGATTCCAGGAATGGACCCTTGTCTGAGAGCCAATATAAGCATTTCAAACACAGGGCTTCCCCACCTCCCCACCCTGTGTGTGCTACAGTATCATCCTCCAACCGCATGACAACAGCACAAACCAGTTCACTGCTCACAGTCCTTTTCTCTAGCTTTTGTGATCCTCTTTTAACGACAGATTTTTTTTTTATTGTGGATTTTTCCAAAGAAGCAAGATAGTTTTTATGATAATATTTTTGTCCCAAAGCCCATCTCATTTTTCTTTTTGCAGGAAGTTAAAACATGCACACAGCATAGGCCATCATTCCTGAAGGATTAACTGTCATTTAAAAACCTTATTTCTCACTTTTTTTTTTTTTTTTTACTACATTTGGGTTCCCTGCTGCGTTCATAATAACCCTATTCTTAATAACACTTAGGCTGAAGCACTATTTTTGAAGGCTACTTCACTAATCTCGCTGTGTGAAAGGGGAGAGAAATAGTGCTTCGTAAATAAATTCCGAAAGATTATCTGCTACTTATCTGCACCCGCTTCTGTGAAAGGAAAGACTTATTCTTCCAATAAAGTTCATTCCATTGTGTTGTATTTGCCATGCTTTTACCTGCAGAGTAGAAATCACCTCTTCTCCCACCTCCTTGGTGGACACAAGATAACGGGCCATCTCAGGGTTAATGATTCGGTCCTCCTTCTCCCAGCGGACTATAATGGGCTTCTCACCATGCGCCGTGCAGCTCATCTCCTTTTTCTGCCCCTGCGTGGCCAGGGTAGTATTTGGATAGGATGTTATCATCGCAGGAACTGAAAAAGCAAAAGGGACACAACTTGTTCAGCAAAGCAGGGTTCTTGATTTTCCCTGGCAAAACACTCAGGTAAACCATGCTTCAAGAGATATTTCTTCAAAATGAAATTTATTCAAGAAACTGCTGCATGAGAATCTCGAGCAAAATAAAGGAAAGGCACCAGAAAAATGAAACTTGAGTAAGTGAGCCCTCAGCAGAAATTGCCATGCCGTTTCATATCCACGGCACGTTGCTCTTCCAACCCTGTTGAGGGCTATGGCCTATGTCCCTTAGCACACCCAGAATGATTGATATGGGTTGGCTGTGTCCCCACCCAAATCTCATCTGGAATTGTATGCCCATAATTCATTCCCATGTTTCATGGGAGGAACCTGGTGGGGGGTAATTGAGTCATGGAGGCGGATCTTTCCCATGCTGTTCTCATGATAGTGAGTAAGTCTTATGAGATCTGATGGTTTTAAAAATGGGATTTTCTCTGCACAAGTGCTCTCTCTTTGCCTGCTGCCAACCATGTAGGATGTGACTTGCTCCTCCTCGCCTTCCATCATGGTCATGAGGCCTCCCCAGCCACATGGAACTGTAAGTCCATTAAACCTCTTTCTTTTGTAAACAGCCCAGTCTCAGGCATGTCTGTATCAGCAGCATGAAAACGGACTAATACAATGATGTTACTGGTTTCTAACTATCATTATAAACAATGGGGATAAAACTTCCACTTTTAGTCAACTTTAGGTGAATCCCTTGTTGCTGCTAACCAGTCCTTGTAACCACTTTTCACAATGCCCATCTCCCACAGTTGTTATAAACCTTGCAAACCTTTATCAGTCACTGGAGACCTCAAACCTGTCCTTCTTCCATAACTTATAGCAGAGAATCTCGTCTCCAATTTACTGAGAAAAGGGAACCCTTTATTTGTGAAGCTTCTCAAGTTTCCTTTTCCCACATCAAAATTAAAAGAAGTCTAATACATAGACTTCTTTTCTTGGCAATAGATGACAAAAGATCCCACCCCAATTCCACAAGCCACTTATAAATTGTAGACTGCATATGACAAACACCTTTTAAAATGCATACTAAGCTTATCAGAAAGTGAGAGAAAAACCAGAGACCAAACACAAAAGCTGATAGTGAAAAGCCAGAGGTAATATATAATGGCGGTGCTTTGACTACCTGAGAGGCATGACATTAAATATGAGACCTCCAAAGCCAGGCTCCTCAAAGGGTTCTATCTTGACAGAAAGTATATAACCAAAATAATAATAACAATAAATAAAAATCCACAAAGGCAAAGAGAGAAGAAAGCTGCCTCAGCTTGTGTTATATATGTAGAAAAACAATCTCTCCCCTGAGAATTTATAAAACTGGCCTGACTCTACATAGGTCTGTAGTCAAATTCATGCTAAAGCTTTAACATGAAGGTGACCGTAATTTGATAATGGCCTGAGGAGCCTAGCAAAAGCTAACATACTCTAGAAGAATGTGTCCTCTGTCCAGGCCCACTGAAATGCACCCAGATAAAGCCCTGCTGGCCGTGAGCTCACAAACTGAAACTAAAGAACACATGAGAAAACTAACACCATGATTGAGAACCAGCCTCCCAGGACTTCAGATGATACAGTTGTCAGATACAGACTGCAAAATAACTATGCAAGAATGTTTAAAGATATTTTAAAAATATGATAAAGGAACAAGATGTTAACAAAAAGGACTAGAAAGGTTTGAAAATTCATCAAAACATAACAACCTTTTTATTTGCTTTTTATCTCATTTCCCCAATCACAGGAAGAAGCTCCCTTCCCCCATTTCTGAGGTCAAGCTCAGACTACGTACTTGATTGCTTGCCTCGTAAGACTTCCAAGGTACTTGACCATAGAAACACTGTGGCTTCTTCTAAGACTGGCACATACTGGGTCATGTCTTTTCCCATGGCTTACTAGAGAGGTTTGAGACATATAATGAAACGTCAAAATACTACCAGTTCCGTAGCCTGAACACCCACAGAAGAACCTACATTTGGGAGTTTCTCTAGAGTCAGCAGCCATGTGGCAGAGATGTGCCCCACAGCACTGACCGTGTAATAAGATGGAAAGTAGGCAAATTGGTGACTCAAGAAAGAGGTGCCAAGAGTCCTGCATATCAAGGACAGTTGCTCACAACTGTTGTGAAATTCCTTTTCTGGCATTTCTGAGATGCAGCAAAACTGGCTGTACTGTCCCCAGCCTTTGGTTCTGATCCCCCCCTTCCCCTAGCCTATAAAATAAATAAAAATGTTTATTTTTATTAATAGCTTTATTGTGGTATAATATCCATACCATAAAATTCACCTGTTTTAAGTGTGCAATTCAGTTGTACACTTAATATTGCATTCGCTTCCTAGAGTGCCTGTAACAAATTACTAGAATCTATGTGGCTTATAATAACAGAAATTTCTTCTCTCACAGTTCTGGAGGCTGGAATTCCAAAATCAAGTCGACAACAGAGCCATGCTCCCTCTAAGAGCTCTAGAGGAAGACCCTTCCTTGCCTCTTCCAGCTTCTGGTGGCCCCAGGCATTCCTTGGCTTGTGGCGGCAAAACTTCAGCTTCTGCCTTATCTTCACATAATTTACATTCTTCTTTGAATGTTTCTGTGTCTTTTCACATGGACTTCTTATGAGGATACCAGTCACTGGATTTAGGACCTACCCTAATGCAGTATGATCTCTTCTTAACGAATTATATTTGCAAAGACTCTATTTCCATATAAGGTCATATTCCAAGGTTCTAAGGGGACATTAATTTTTGGGGATACTATTCAACCCATTACAAATATATTTATATTATCCAGTACATATACATATATACCATTATAACCTGTATACAAATATACACAGTTGTATAATCATCACTGAATCAAATCTTAAAGCATTTACATTACCCCAAAAGATTTCTCCTGCCCATTTGCAGTCATTTCTCTTTTCCCCCTCAAGTTCTAAGCAATCACTAATCTACCTTCTCTCCCTGATATGGTTTGGCTGTGTCCCCACCCAACTCTCATCTTGAATTGTAGTTTCCATAAATACAATTCGTCTCCCATAGTGTCATGGGAGAGGCCTGGTGGGAGATAATTGAATCATAGGGGTGGTTACCTCCATGCTGGTCTCGTGATAGTGAGTGAGGTCTCACAAGAGCTAATGGTTTTATGAGGGGCTTTCCGCCCTTTACTCTGCACTTCCCCTTCCTGCCGCCATGTGAAGAAGCATATGTTTGCTTCCCCTTTCACCATGATTGTAAGTTTCCTGAGGCTTCCCTAGTCGCATAGGACTGTGACTCAGTTAAGCCTCCTTCCTTTATAAATTACCCAGTCTCTGGTATGTCTTTAAAAGAACAGACTAACACAATACCCGTATTACCTTTTTAGATCATTTTTTATAAATGGAATCATATAGCATGTATTCTTTAGTATCTAGCTTTCTGGATTTTTTTCACTAAGCATAATGTTGTCAAGGTTCATCCATGTCATAGCACAGTACTTTGTTCCTTTTTATTGCTAAATGATATTGCAGCACACGGATATACTGCATTTTTTTAAATCCACTCACCCACTGATGCACACTGGGGTTGTTTCTACTTTGGGGCTATTATGAGTAATTATACTATAAATATTCCTGTATAAGCTGTTGTGTGAACAAATGTTTTCATTTTTTTCCAGGAGAGATTCCTAGAAGTGGAACTACTGGGTTATATGGCAATTTCATGTTTAACATTTTGAGAAACTGCCACACTGTTTGACCAAGTGGCAGCACCATTTTGCACTCTTGTGGCCGGAGATTGGAGAGAGAAGAGGGAATAAGAGGAGGTGTTAAGATTCAGCATTTATGGTGAGGGAACAAGAACATTCCCTTTCAACCATTTGAGTTCAACAATTTAAGTTCAACCATTTGAATTCAACAGGGGAACTCAAAGAGTAGAGATTGGGTGCACCTATAAAAAGGTGAGCTGGCATGTTCCTCGACAGCTGGAGGCTTACTGGCTGTAGAAACCCCAGGCTCACCATGGATCTGCCATCACAGAGGAACTGAAGGTGGTGGCACTTTCTGTTTGGCCTCAATCCACTAATCAAGATTTTTTCTCATACGGGAAAGAGGCTAACTCAAGATAATTAGAGATCTCAAAGCCAACAAAAGTAACCTAAATTACAAAACTGTGAATAAATAAATTACAGGCCTATGAACAAGAAAATATTTACTCCTCATTCTTTCTCTCACGACTGGGGAATGTGAATCAGAAACCATGACACCCACATATAATTTAGCTTTGAAAGGTGACCCCTGTCCACTACCATCAACCCCCACGCCCCAATTCCTGATGAGTGTCCTGATTCCTGCAACACCCTCATCCTTAGAATAAAATATAGAAACTCTTGTTGCAAAACTGAAAATCAATCCATGTTTAATGCCTCCCAGTCTCCTGGGCATCTCAAGGCTATGGTCAGGATTTCCTATTTTGCAGTGTTTGTAAAAAGGAAATGTATAAAATGGTAAGACATAAAAACAGACAGTTTTCCTTTGAGAACTTGGTAAGTCACCATCATCACCTCCCAAATCCAGGGTAGTTTAACACTCACTGACTATATTCCAATGAGAGCAAGCCAATTCTGAAGTAAGGGTTTCTGTCCTATTCTAGGAGCTCCAAGGCTGGTGTTGACCCAGAATGTAATTCCCTAGTACTTTAAAACCACCAACTGGAAGAACTGTTCTCCAAAAACTGCAGCATTGTTTTGAGGACTTGTTTGTTTTCTTCTCTTTTCCTTTTTTAAAAAAATAATCACAAGTTTTATCGCATTTGATGAGAGAAGTACCTTGGCCAAACCATAGACCTCTGGTTTGTTTATGACTTGCCCATCTTAATCTGCACACAATACTCCTCAGTTTTATTTAGATTTCTACTTTGAAAGAGTGCCCTACTAAAATGGGTATTTTTGTTCTGGTTATTAAATTCAGCACTTAGAGAGAAATGCTCTGACTAGCCCATGTTCTCCTATCCAGCTCAAGTATTTTCAGCCCTTTAAAGTAATGGTGGAAAGGAAAAAATGAATCATTACCATGGCTTCTTTGCAATGCTAATGTTTGAAGGCATGACCTTTTCACTTGTCACAGTTATGGATGCCTAGAGATGACAACATGTCTGTACAGCAGCCCTTTTTGCGAGGATTTCTGAAGCATAACAAATGGATGGGGTAATTTAACAGGGATTGGTACCAAGGAGAGGCTGTGGGCAAACCCTGCTAGCAGGGCCAAGGGAGATCCAGACCCAAGAAGGCTTTGTCCAAAGGTTGTGTGCTGCGTGCCTCTCTTGCAAAATTACCCATTGAGGAAGGTGCTGTTTTACATCATATCAATTTATAAATTTGCTTCATAAACTATAATATTATCTAACAGCATCCTTAATGCTCAGTAAATCTGTGTTCTTATGATATAAGGGAGCATCCCTCTGACCTACTTTTTTGCAGCATAAAGATGCAGTGGTGTAGTGGAGCTGCTGTCATTGGCCAGGGAGATCTGATTGTGCACATCTCTGCCCAGCTTGGCAGTGCAGTCATGTCTCTTTCCCATTTAGCTTGAAATTGGCAATGGTGGTAGTATTTATACCACTGAAATTGGCGAGTGCTAGAAATCACGGCTTTCTCCATCCTCTCCCCCTCAATAGCTAATTGTTAAACATTTACCAGAATAATACTTAGGAGAGTGTTTCACTATATTAATAATTTTAAAGGGTGTTCCCATCGTACAAGAGATACTGAGAAGATAGTAAGATTAAGCTAAGAGCAATAATTAACTTTATCAATGAAAGTAAACCCTTATTTATTAATTAAATAATTAAAATATGAACAGTTTGTCACTGTACGTTTTGACAAGTAATTCAGTGATAAATTGATGAATATCTTAATTTTTTAACCCTAGGATACAGAGAGAATGAAAAATTCTATCAATAAATCACTGATATTAAAGACTGGTTCCAAACTTTACTCTCAAGTCTTTTAATGACTCTATCAATAATGCAAAATTAATCCTTATACATTTTTATGGTTTTTGTTCCTACCTGGTTCTGCTGAAAAGAAAACAGATTGAAAAGAAAACAACTGAAAAGAAAACAGGAGAAAGTACCAAACAGCCTGGATAATCCCGAATGAGACAAGATTCCTGTCACAAGCATCTGGCTCAATACTTTCATTTTATAGAGAAGAAAGGGTGTCAAATGCCCAAATACAGGAGTCCATCAGGATCTGACTCTGATCGGTCCTATTTGAAAACCATCATCGTCATGATCACCCCAAACATAGGAGATGGCCAACTGTCCCAGGGTGTCCAGGACTTCCAGTGTTTTAACACAGGAAGTCTGTATCCTGGGAAGTTTCTCAGTCCCTCCAGGCATTCAGAGCAGATATGGCAGAGGAGGGTGTGGAGCCAAGAACGAGGCAGCATAAACCTGGCCCAATGCCCAAGATGGGAAACTGAGGCAGGAATTACAGGGTTCCCGGGTGGGAGGTCAAAAGAAGGAGATGCTCTGGGACATAAACACATTTTAAAGCTATTTTTTCAAGTCCCTTTTAAACCAGTCCTCCCAAATTTTTATTATGAAAAAATTTCAAACATACAGGAAGCCAATCAGCCATGTATCTACTGCCTGGATTCCACAGTTCACACTTTAATGCACAGTGTTGAATCAAAATGTGTTTTCTTTGTTATCAAGATTTACTGAATACATTTTTTTTATTATTCTATTTTAAAACTACCTTGGGTAAACACATACATCAGCGTGGGTCTCAAAGGTCGAGCTGTAAGATGGCAGCCACCTGCCTGGATTCTGCAGCTCAGGGTGCAGACCCACTGGCCTCCTGGTGTCCCAGGTAAAGGAACTGCCGCACCCTGGCCTGCAGAGGTGATGTGGGGTTAGGTGGTGCCTGGGGTAGAGTGGTGCCCCTCACATATGTCTTACCAAAAGGAAAGGTGAGGAAGGGGCCTGGGAGCAGAGAATCTGACTCCAACCTCCTGCCGCTGGGACTGGGCAGGACCCTTGGCCGTCCTGGGTTTTGGCTTTCTCACCTGAGTCATAGAGGAGCTGAATGGGATCACGGGCTCTCAACCTGGCCTGTATCTCGGAATCACCTAGAAGCCTTTAAAATAGGCCAGTGCTCAGGCCCCACCGCACGTTGGCTCAGAGTCCCTGGGGGTGGGGGTTATGCATGGATTTATTTAAGTTTCCCAGACGATCCTAAAATATACAGCCTGGATTGAAACAACTCAATCCGATGATCCCCAAGGTCTTTTCCCCCACTAATTGCCATTTCCCCTCCTTCTCCTTTTTTCTTTATTTCTTTCCCTCTATCCTTCTGTTCCTCCCTCCCAATTTTTTCTTCATTTTTCCCTTCCTTCCTTCTTCACTTTCCCCTCTCTTTCTTCTGTTTCATCCTCCCTCTATTTCTGTCTCCTGCTTTTTTCTGTTTTCTCCTTCACAGTGCCATAATAACAACAATAGCTAATTTTTATGAGTGTTGACTGTGTGCTAAGAACTTTTCCATATACTGCATAAGTATTTCAGCCATACGACATGATGGAATAAAAACACTAGCCATGGAAATGACCCAAGACACATGAGTACTATTTTAAGTTGATTCTAAATTATGCTATAAATAGAAGTGAGACACATAGACAAAACATTTCCAGCAGATTAATTGGATTTGCATCTATATTAACAAAGGTCTATGCAGATGGTCAAATAGAAACCAGACACCAAACACCGCCTTTAAATGGGCAAAAATAAAGATTAGAATATAAGAGAATTTTGGAATTAATTTCTACTTGACATCTTCTCCCCTTTCTCCTTAATTTCTTTCTTTCTTTCTTTTTTTCTTTTTTGAGACGGAGTCTTGCTCTGTGGCCCAGGCTGGAGTGCAGTGTCGCAATCTTGGCTCACTGCAAGCTCCGCCTCCCGGGTTCACACCATTCTCCTGCCTCAGCCTCCCGAGTAGCTGGGACTACAGGCGCCCACAACCACGCCCAGCTAATTTTTTGTATTTTTAGTAGAGAGAGGGTTTCACCTTGTTAGCCAGGATGGTCTCGATCTCCTGACCTTGCGATCCACCCACCTCGGCCTCCCAAAGTGCTGGGATTACAGGCGTGAGCCACCGCGCCCAGCCTCTCCTTAATTTCTAAGTAAGGAAACAGAGAACTAGGGGGTTTAAGACTGGAAATGACTAGACCTATTCCCCTTGCCTCTCTCCTATCCCTAATGCAAAGTTCTATTTTATTTAGTAAGTTTATTAAAAAATCAATATTACCATAAAAGTAATACAGTAAAATGATCTTCATTAATCCCTAAAGTGATGAATCTTTCCCATCCCCTCTCTTCCCTTCTCTTTCCTCCTTCCTTCCTCCAGGGTCTGGAAAGCTAAATGGTAGTAGCAGCACAGTTAGTTAATAACGCATCTGTCCTTCTGTCCTTTCACGTCTCAGATCATTTTCATATCATGAGCTTGCAGCAACACATGTGTTTCTCAGTGGAGAAGGGATTCTTAATTCCATTTACCTATAATTACCTAGGATGGGGAAACTAAGTAATTAGCCTAAAGTCATACAACTAGTAAATGGAAGATCTAGAAGGAGAATCCAGGTCTTCTGATTCCAAGTGCAAAGCCTCTTTCCCTTATAGTAGCGGAGGAGGCCAAGGGTGCAGAGTGTCTGACCACAGGGGTATCTGACAGCCTGACTGTCTTCAAGCCTGAACACCCTTGGAAGCCCCTCAGTCTGGGGCCTGAGTCCATTTACAGGAGACTCCTCATAAAGTCCTTGAAATTTCCACTTTCTCAGCTGCAAGGCAAGACCCAAACATCTCCCGCAAGCCTATTGCATATTTGTAGAATTAAGCAGACGAGACTGGCTACACAATTTGCAGGACCCAGAGCAAAATGAAAATATGGAGGCTTTTGTTCAAAAAGCAGGAAAAAGGTGCCATTAAAGTTCTAAAATATAAAGCTTTTTCCTTCCTTCTGTGGTCTCCCTCTCTCCCTCTGTCATGATGGCCTTTATTTTTTATTTAATATCCCACTTCCTCTGGCATGGTGATACTGGCTGGTCAAGTGCTGACCCTCCCTAACTCCCAGTAACAGCCCTGTGACTTGGCATGCACACTCATGTGCCCCACCACATGCCTGGATCCCCACCATCATCATACCCAGGCCAGGGTGGGGACGTGTAGTCAGGCCTCTCTCAGTCGAATAGGTGACCTTCAGTGACCTGGAGACCCACCCTGCCCGGTCATCCTCTGTAAACTCTCTGGTACTGCCACCTAGAAGCAGGGAGGGGTGCCACACCCAGAAATGTTACAGGAGGCTGTCTCTGACCTTCTCCACATACTTACCCAGATCCCCATGGACTGGATGACCATAGCCATTGCTGGGCAGTTGCAGGAAAGGGGAGCCTGGGGCTCCAGGGGGCAGGAAAGTGAACAGCTGAAAACCTATTCTGGAGAGGCAGTGGGAGGTGGGATGACATGGGAGCTGTGGCTCCACATACCCTGTTCATGCTCCATTGTCACACTGGACTTCACTTGCAAAACACAATTTCAAAGACAAAATTGTTAAGAATTCAAGATGGCGGCTGCAGATAATCTTTGGCTTGTGGGACTGGACTGGTCTTGTACCGATGATGCTGTCCCTGAATGTCAGGACAGTACTCCACTTCCTAGGCAGCCTCTACTGCTTCCAGTAGAAAGAAACAGCCCAGGTACCTTGAGCAGGAGGGGAATAAGAAGAGCTGAGGAGAGGGCAGTCTCTTGGATAAGACTTAGATATGAGTAACCACAATCTGGAATCTGAAGTAGGGAGCCCACTCTGCCCATCATGAAGGCAATGGGTACAGAGGCAAGCCTTAATGAGGGAAGTGACTAATCCACTTGCAATCAACATCTTCCCAAGCCACTCAATACATCACGATTATCTTTCATTAAACCTGTGGTCCCTATTCCTTACATCACCTGGGAGCCATAAAAACACCCACAGTATGCTGAGAATGATGACTTCCAGCTTCATCCCCTGGAAAGGATAAGATCTCATTCTTTTTTATGGCTGCATAGTATTCCATCATGTATACATGCCACATTTTCTTTATCCAGTCTATCATTAATGGGCATTTGGGTTGTTTCCAAGTCTTTGCTATTGTAAATACTGCAGCAATAAACATAAGTGTGCATGTGTCTTTATTGTAGAATGAGTTATAATCCTTTGGGTATATAACCAGTAATGGGATTGCTGGGTCAAATGGTATTTCTGGTTTTAGATCCTTGAGGAATCACCACACTGTTTTCCACAATGGTTGAACTAATTTACACTCCCACCCACAGTGTAAAAGCATTCCTATTTCTCCACAGCCTCGCCAGCATATGTTGTTCCTGACTTTTTAATAATAGCCATTCTGACTATTCTCACTTATAAGTGGGAGTTGATCAATGAGAATACGTGGACACAGGGAGGGGAACAACACGCACCGGGGCCTGTCGGTGGGTGGGGCAAGGGGAGGGAGAGCATTAGGACAAATATCTAATGCATGCAGGGCTTAAAACCTAGATGACAGGTTGATGGGTGCAGCAAACCACCATGGCACATATATACCTATGTAACAAACCTGCACATTCTGCACATGTATTCTGGAACTTAAAGTAAAATTAAAAAAACAAAAAACAAAAAACACCCACAGTAGTATCTTCCCAGTCACAGCGAATACTTGCTGTCCTCAGGATTCTTTTTTTTTTTTTTTTGGTAAAATACACATAACAAAAAATTGGTCATTTTGGTCACTTTCAGTGGACAAAGTACATTCTTAGTCTGTCTTCAAATCAGAACACCCTTGGAAGCCCCTCATTCTGGGGCCTGAGTCCATTTACAGGAGACTCCCCATAAAGTCCTTGAAATTTCCATTTTCTCAGCTGCAAGGCACATTGCTGTACAGCCTTCACTACAATTCATCCCCCAAACTTTTTCTTCTTCCCAACCTGAAACTTGGCAACTCTTAAACAATCCCTATTCTCTCCTTTTCCTGGCCCCCAGGCCCTGGCAGTCACCATTCTACTTTCCGTCTCTATGAATTTGACTTCTCTGGGGACCTCCTATAAGAAGAATCATACAGTATTTGTCTTTTTGTATCTGGCTCATTTTACTTAGCATAATCTCCTCAAGGTTCAGTCAAGCTGTAGCCTGTGTCTGAATTTCCTTCTTTTCTAAGCCTGAATTATATTTCAAGATATGTGTACACAGCATTTTTTTAATCCAGTCATCTGTCAACGGACACTTGTGTTGCTTTCACCTTTTGGCTATTGTGAACACTGGTGTAC